>NC_000011.10:39150909-39302424 GCF_000001405.40 Homo sapiens
TATATCCAGTGAAAATATCTTTCAAAATTAAAGAAGAAATAAAGACCTTCCCAGATAAACAAATGCTGAGAGATTTCGTCAACATTGGACCTGTCCTATAAGAAATAACCAGAAAGAAAGGAATATTAATGAGAAGTAATCATCTGAGAGTACACAACTCACTGGTAATAACACACAAAATATTATAACTGTGGTGTGTAAACTACTCTTATTCTAAGTTGAAAAGCTAACCTATAAACCAATGAAAACAATAACTACATCAACTTTCAAGACATAGTAAAATAAGCTACAAATAGAAACACCAAAAAGTAAAAAATCAAGGAGACAAAGTCAAGTGAGTTTTTATTAGTTTTCTTTTTACTTATCTGCTATTTTTTTACATAGTATTAAGTTGTTAGGTGAAAATAATGGGTTATAAGATAGTATTTGCAAGTCTCGTGGCAACCTCAAACCAAAAACACAATGGATACCCAAAAAATGAAAAACAGGAAATTAATCATATCACCAGGAAATCATGTTCACTAGGGGAAGACAGGAATGAAAAAAAGAAGAAAGATGATGAAACAACAAGAAAATAAATAACAAAATAGCAGGAGTAACTCCATAGTTATTAATAATAATATTGAGTATAAATGGACTAAACTCTCCAATCAAAAGACATAGAAAGGGCTGGGCACAGTGGCTCACACCTGTAATCCCAGCATTTTGGGAGGTTGAGGTGGGCAGATCACTTGAGGTCAGGAGTTCAGGATCAGCCTGGCCAACATAGTGAAACCCCATCTGTACTAAAAAATTGCAAAAAAAATGTAATAAGTATTCCATGGTGTATATGTGCCACATTTTCTTTATCCAGTCTATCATTGATGGGCATTTGGGTTGGTTCCAAGTCTTTGCTATTGTGAATAGTGCTACAATAAACACACATGTGTATGTGTCTTTATGGTAGAATGATTTATAATCCTTCAGGTGTATATATATATATATATATATATATATATATATATATACCCAGTAATGGGATTGCTGGGTCAAATGGTATTTCTGGCTCTAGATCCTTGAAGAATCATTACACTGTCTTCCACAACGTTAAACTAGGTTATTCTACCATCAACAGTGTAGAAGTGTTCCTATTTCTCCACATCCTCTCCAGCATCTGTTGTTTCCTGACTTTTTAATGATCGCTATTCTAATGGGCGTGAGTTTTGATTTGCATTTCTCTAATGACCAGTGATGATGAGCTTTTTTCATATGGTTTTTGGCTGCATAAACGTCTTCTTTTGAGAAGTGTCTGTTCCTATCCTTCACTCACTTTTTGATGGGGTTGTTTTTTTCTTGTAAAGTTGTTTATGTTCCTTATAGATTTGGATATTAGCCATTTGTTAGATGGATAGATTGCAAAAATTTTCTCCCATTCTAGAGGATGCCTGTTCACTCTGATGATAGTTTCTTTTGCTGTGAAGAAGCTCTTTAGTTTAATTAGATCCCATTTGTCAATTTTGGCTTTAGTTGCCATTGCTTTTGGTGTTTTAGTCATGAAGTATTTCCCATGACTATGACCTGAATGGTATTGCCTAGGTTTTCTTCTCGGGTTTTTATGGTTTTAGGTTTTACATTTAAGTCTTTTATCTATCGTGAGTTAATTTTTGTATAACGTGTAAGGAAAGGGTCCAGTTTCAGTTTTCTGCATATGGCTAGCCAGTTTTCCTGACATCATTTATTAAATAGGGAATCCTTTCCCCATTGCTTGTTTTTCTCAAGTTTGTCAAAGATTAGATGGTTGTAGATGTGTAGTGTTATTTCTGAGGCCTCTGTTATTTTCCACTGGTCTATATATCTGTTTTGGTACCAGTACCATGCTCTTTTGGTTACTGTAGCCTTATAGTATAGTTTGAAGTCAGGTAGTGTGATGCCTCCAGCTTTGTTCTTTTTGCTTAGGATTGTCTTGGCTATACGGGCTCTTTTTTGGTTCCATATGAAATTCAAGGTAGTTTTTTTCTAACTATGTGAAGAAAGTCAATGGTAGCTTGATGGGGATAGCATTGAATCTGTAAATTACTTTGGGCAGTATGGACCTTTCTTTTCACAATATTGATTCTTCCTAT
Organism: Homo sapiens; assembly: GCF_000001405.40. Taxonomy (NCBI): domain Eukaryota; kingdom Metazoa; phylum Chordata; class Mammalia; order Primates; family Hominidae; genus Homo; species Homo sapiens. The sequence goes on from NC_000011.10 coordinate 39,153,012, forward strand.
CCATGAGCATGGAATGTTTTACTATTTGTTTGTGTGAGCAGTGGTTTGTAGTTCTCATTGGAGAGGTCCTTCATATCCCTTATAAGCTCTATTCCTAGGTATTTTATTCTCTTTGTAGCAATTGTGAATGGGAGTTCACTCATGATTTGGCTCTCTATTATTGGTGTATAGGAATGCTTGTGAATTTTGCACATTGATTTGGTATCTTGAGATTTTGCTGAAGTTGCTTATCAGATTAAGGAGATTTTGGGCTGAGATGATGGGGTTTTCTAAATATACAATCATGTCTTCTGCAAACAGACAACTTGGCTTTCTCTCTTCCTATGCCCTCTCACCACTCCTATTCAACATAGTATTAGATTTCTGGCCAGGGCAATCAGGCAAGAGAAAGAAATTGATGCACTTTTGAAAGTTTACTCTGGCTGGAGGCGGTGGCTCATGCCTGTATTCCCAGCACCTTGGTAGGCTGAGGCAGGCAGATCACTTGAGGACAGGTGTTCAAGACCAGACTGTCCAACATGGCGAAACCCTGTCTCTACTTAAAAAGACAAAAATTAGTCAGGCATGGTGGCGTGTGCTCCTAGTCCCAGCTACTCTGGAGGCTGAGGCAGGAGAATCACTTGAACCTGGGAGGCGGAGGTTGTAGTGAGCCGAGATTGTGCCACTGCACTCCAGCCTGGATGACCAGAGTGAGACCCTGTCTCAAAAAAAAAAAAAAAGAAAGAAAGAAAGAAAAAAGAAAAAGTTACTCTACCAGTGAATTTCCAGAAGAAGAAATAGTAAAGTTCTGGTACAGACAATGTCAGTGTTCTTATATCTGACTCAGGTACAAAAGACTCATCAATCTTCCTAGGAAACATTTTATAGATGGCCTAGGAGAAGGAGATTTCTAGTGTAATATGCAAAAATAAAAATGTAATATTCTGGAAATTAATAATTAATCTGGAGGAGCTGTGGTATTTTTAATAGACTGGTAAAAATGTTGATTTACTTTAGAATTTTGATTTAGAGCGAAATCATGTCACCAAATGTATATTAGCAGCATGCAGCACAAGTTAAAAAAGTACAGAAACTAAGAAGCACAAATGATTTAATGTATAGTTATTTTTATTTCTATTCAAAGTGTTACCATATTTAATACTTGCAAATAATACTTCTGTATAATGACATAGAGGAGGAATTCTCTTTAGCTGTTTCATTTATTATTTTCCCACTAATAAAGACTATCATTTATTATTCCTGATCCTGTTTTTAATTGTGTACATTATTGCTTATTATTAATAACACTTTTACTAATAGATTTTAATGAGAAGTAAATAATTGCTCCATTAATATAATCACAAGATTATATACTTGTCATAAACTTAATCCTCAACTACTTTCATTAACTATTTATAGGATTTTAAATTGCATTTATTGGGTTTATTTTATATGCAAGCTCTAATATATTTAAGTTTACAATAACTGTTTACAAGGCCCAAATTGCCGTATTTTTTCCCAATCTTTGAAAATGTATTCTCTAATTATGTGATAATAACTATTCAGTGATAGGGCAATTATAGAGTAATTGCTATGTCATTATTGAGTAATAACATTGTAACACCATGAAATTACAGGGTAGATAAATACATGGCGAATTTTACATACTAAAGCATAGTACAGAAAATCAAATAATTATATTGCACTGCTTTTCTACGGTACAGAAAATCAAATAATTATATTTCAAAGCATACAATAAATCACACTAATCAGTTTTCAGTAGATTTATATAGTAAGAAAATTGCTTCAAAGCAAAACCTCTATTGCTTTTTTGGTTAAAGAAACTGGCTTAGTTTTTGTGGTAAAGCAAGTAATGGAGATAGAGTGTGTGATTAAGCATTTATGTTTTTCTTTAAATATCATTACTTATATTACCTTTTACACTCAGTAAACATATTATACTACAAAAGTCAGCTTTCTCAGAAAAAAATTCCCACTGCTATTATTTTCGTGTCATTCTCTCACCGAAATGGACACTAAAATAGAGACAATCAGCTCTTATCATTTTAATTTGTATGCTAAATTTACATACACATTTTCACTTGTATGAAACAAACAAAAAGAGTCTACTATGGAAAAGTAGTTTCTCAACTTCAACTGCATATTTTTGCAAGGCTTTAATGTCATGAATGGCAACAGTATTCTAGGGAAAACTCTCCTGGATCAAAGAAGAACTAAATTCATAACAAGTAAAATGATTCTAGATTAGATTCTGGGTCACAAAGAAAACATCTATAAAGGATATTATGAGGAGAATTGGGAAAAAGTGAATTTGGGTTCAAATACTAAGTAGAATTATTGAATTGATGTTAAGCTTTTTGATTGTGCTACGTTATATTGTTTTTATATTGAAGAAAATATTTATTCATTAAGAATTTATGTTCTATCATTAACCACAATGTTCTACCCACTTCAGTTTTAAAAAAACCAAAAATCTGTGTCTATATATACACACGCACACAAACACACACACACACACAAAATGAAGGGCTGAGGAGAGAAGGAAGAAAGAAAGAGAAAGCAGTAATAGTAAAATGTGAACAAGAAGGGTAAAGACAAGTGGGGGGTGGAAGAGAGAGCGTAAAAAGAAAGAGAAAATTATATATAGATGATAAATACAAGGATGCTTATTGTAGTGTTCTTGAAACACTTTTAGGTTTAATTTTTTTATATAAAATTTAAGGAAAAGTTTCATTTACCTTTTAAGTGTATGAGAGCTTCACTCGGTTCAACCAACATATTCTGACTGAGTGGGAAATACCCAGAAGAATAACACAGGGTTTCTTTTTTTCTTTTTTTTTGAGACAGAGTCTGGCTCTTTCGCCCAGGCTGGAGTGCAGTGGCGCTATCTCGGCTCACTGCAAGCTCCGCCCCCCGGGCTCACCCCATTCTCCTGCCTTAGCCTCCGGAGTAGCTGAGACTACAGGCTCCTGCCACCACACCCCGCTAATTTTTTGTATTTTTAGTAGAGACGGGGTTTCACCGTGTTAGCCAGGATGGTCTCAGTCTCCTGACCTCGTGATTCGCCCGCCTCGGCCTCCCAAAGTGCTGGGATTACAGGCGTGAGCCACCGTGCCCGGCCAACACAGGTTTTCTTTCAGTCAGGAATAATAGTTTCTTGATTAGCATGGACATGTATAGAAATTACCACATTCTACAGATTCATAATGTGTTACTTATCTTGAGCTTGCAAACTGCTTATGAGTGGCCCTAGAAAGGAACTGATATAGTCTGGACAATGACTTCATAAATCCTAGATTTGCATAAGAAGACAAAAAAGTGAGGAAACCCAGGGATCTTAAGTATAACTAAACGTCAGTGATACATCACAGGATGTTTAAACATATGTTATTCTTTACCTAGACTTCTTTCTTCATGTGTAGTAGTGCATCCTTTCATTTGATTCAAGTCCCTTACTGTTTTATACACTCCAAAATATTTCACTGTGATTCTAGAACTCATCATGATCTTTCATCATTATATATGCTGATATATTCTCAAAATTTTTCTCTAAGTATATTCCTATCTAGCTAAAAATAGCCATAACCTGACGATATTGCTTTAGCTGCAGTCGTTCAAAGTGGCAGCTTTCATTGATCCCCTTCCATAGCCAACCATATCTTCAGACCTAACTAAACTCTTAGGTGAATTTCTCATTGCTGCTACTAGGCTAGAGGATGGTAAACTTGTTCTAAAGAGCCAGAGAGTAAAGCTTAGGCTCTATAGCCGATATATGGTCTCTGTTGTGGCTGCTGTTGCTGCCTCCTTCATCTCCTCTTTCTTTTGTTTGTTTGTTTGTTTGTGTGTCAATAAGAACTTTTTTTTAATACTTTAAGTTTTAGGGTACATGTGCACAACATGCAGGTTAGTTACATATGTATACATGTGCCATGTTGGTTTGCTGCACCCATTAACTCGTCATTTAACATTAGGTATATCTCCTAATGCTATCCCTCCCCCCTTCCCCTTCCCCCACCCCACAACAGTCCCCGGTGTGTGCTGTTCCCCTTCCTGTGTCCATGTGTTCTCATTGTTCAATTCCCACCTGTGAGTGAAAACATGCCGTGTTTGGTTTTTTGTCTTTGGGATAGTTTGCTGAGAATGATGGTTTCCAGCTTCATCCATGTCCCTACAAAGGACATGAACTCATCCTTTTTTATGGCTGCATAGTATTCCACGGTGTATATGTGCCACATTTTCTTAATCCAGTCTATCATTGTTGGACATTTGGGTTGGTTCCAAGTCTTTGCTATTGTGAATAGTGCCGCAATAAACATACGTGTGCATGTGTCTTTATAGCAGCATGATTTATAATCCTTTGGGTGTTTGTTTGTTTTAAAACACACACATACACACACACACACACACACACACACACACACGACTTACTTTAATTGGCCACACAGGCCAAAGTCTGGATTTTCCCTATAAGCTATAGTTTACTCAGCCTTGTTCTAGACTATAATTTCTTTTTTTCCCCCTAAGAGAAAATTTATTTATTATCTTTAAAGTTATCATCTATTGTTCTCCCAGTTATCAATCCTCATTCACTTTAGCATTTCACTCTCCATCCCTATTCCAGTAATTATTTCTGCAATTACAGATCCATACATAAGATAAATGATCCATTCATCAGTCTTTTCTCTCAGTTGCGTGTATATTTGTTTTCTGTTTTATATCTTTCCCCAATAACTCAAAACTACACAACTTCCAAATCTCAGGTCCAGACATCTTACTCTCTTTTCACTGTCTTCAAAGTTTCCAACTCACCACTTCTAGTCACTCCACACAACAATTACACCACAGAAACCTAGTTTATATTGACTGTATGAAATTTTTCTATTGTTTCCTCTCCTCATATTCTCACTTTTATTTCGGTTTATTGTTATAATCATTGCCTTACACATATCCACAATCCTTCTGCCAACTGTACTCTTCTTCATTGTAGTCTACAAGCAAAACACAGCTATGCTAAGATCCAGCACATGGCTTTTTCTGTGGTTGCAATGAGAATCAGCTAGGAAAAATACACAACTGAGCTGATTTACTAGTGATCTAAAACTCGGGTTTCCAGTGTCTCTCCTCAAATTGTCAATAACACCTCCTTCATCCTTACTCTCACCTTAGGACCTTACTTATTACGTTATTGAAGCAATTAAGAAGAGAACACTCACAATTATCCCTTCCCACATCTGTAACTGTGTCTGTATACTCTACCAACCATGCTGTTGTTTGACTGGAGCGTACTTACTCCCATTTCAGGGATGTACACTGGATCCCATCCCCTCTCACTTACTGATGGACTTCACATCCATAATTTTCTTCTTTCATTTTTTATTTATTTTCTGTGTGTGTGTGTGTGTGTGTGTGTGTGTGTGTGTGTGTGTGTTTTGAGACAGAGTCTCACTCTGTCGTCTAAGCTGGAGTGCAGTGGCACAATCTTGGCTCACTGCAACCTCCACCTCCCGGGTTCAAGCCATTCTCCTGCCTCAGCCTCCTGAGTAGCGGGGATTATAGCCGCCCGCCACCATGCCTGGCTAATTTTTTTGTATGTTTTAGTAAAGATGGGGTTTCACCATATTGTCCAGGCTGTTCACAAACTCCTGGCCTCAAGTGATCTGCCTGACTCAGCCCCCCAAAGTGCAGGGATTACAGGTGTGAGCCACCACACCCAGCCCATAATTTTCTGCTTCTGTTTTGTCTCATCAACTTTTCTTGCTTTACTTGAATGCTACTATCTGGATAGAAACCTGCTTTATGATCTACAATCTTAAAAAGAAAGAAAAATCATCCCCTGATTCTGTCTTTTTAACTACTATTCTACTTCTATGCAATCCCATGTAACAAAATTCAGAAGAAAGTTTCCTTAAGAAGCTACCCTGTCTCCAGATCCTCTTTTCATTTCTGGAGACCCATTTCAATTTGGCTTTTATGACAGCTTCCCCTGTTATTAAGTGTTTCTATTCATCCTGGAAAAAAAAGTCAATTCCAAATTCACATTGAACTCAAATTCTTATCGGCATTTGACACAGTTGAGAAGTTCCTCATAACTGTTTCCTCACTCAGATTCTAGTGCACCTAACTATTCTTCATTTTTTCCTACATCTTTGGGTGTTTCTTCCTAGTCTAATTTATAAACCTCCTCCTCTTCTTAACTTCATAAAAAGGTTTTCTAGGGTTCAGATGCAGCATATTTTCTTAGTGAAATTTTTTTTTAAGTCTCTGGTTCACTGATTTTCAAGCAAGCACTGTGTATACTGTGGAGCACAAGAAGACTTTTTGAGGAGCATACAAATATGGACAGTTTCAAGAAACCCATTTTTCCAATCTTCATCCTTAATATGCACACTTTACTGAAAATAATCTGCCTGAGAATGTGCTCACAGTGAGACATACTTTGCAAATCCTTTCCCAGCTCTCAAGCAATAGACCTTCCTCCTTGTTACAGAAAACAAAATAAGCAAAAGATAAGCACACACATACTACATATATGCACACTCATATATAAAATAGATGTACATGCAATGTTAATTTTCTTTGACAAAAATTTTAGTGACTTAGTAGAAGGAAATGGCCATTGGTGTTTCAAATATTTATCTTTCCTTCTACCTTATTCTACACCTCATATCTCTGTTGACATTAAAATAACCCCATCCACTAACACACACACGGGAGAGAGAGAAATATATTTAAAACATTCAACAAAAATTACCTGTACCTTGAAACAAGTAGCATGTCAGTTTTATATCTCTGACAATGGGTCCCATGATTATAAATAAAATAAACATTGTAGTGCTTTTCAATTGAACACTAGCAAAATCAAATATTAGAGCTGTGGCTAGTCTTTTTCCTAATTGTTATGGTACCATTCAAATCAAAGGGAAGGACTGGTTTCTAAATAATTCTGTATTCATTATCTGAAATATGTGTTTATATATTGCAAATAAAACATAATGTAAAGTTGACTTTCTAAAGAAAAATAAATATTTCCAGAGAAAAATGAATACTTGAGAAGAGTTTTTGAAGAAATAATATCTGAAATAAGAATCAGTTCTTGAAACCAACAAACAAAAAATCTTAAAGTTTGGTAATAGAAATGCCAGGTATTAAAGGCTGGTTATCCATCCAACGTCATATCAAATTTCTTACATCAGAATATATTACATGCACTTGGTGATTATGTAAAAATCTCTTCAGTGACCTTATTTAAAAAATATTAAGGACGCTAATTTTACTACTATTTAATTTTGCTAGCAAGCACCTATTTAGAAATATTTGATTTCTGTGACATTTTTGTATTCATTAAAAACACTTTTAAAAATGTAGCTCTTCAAACAAAAAGGTCCCTATACAAGATGAAAATTATAAGGTCTACTCTTTATTTTTTGAAAGCTACTCACGTAAATGTGACATTCTAAATATTTATTAATTACTATTAAAACATATTTACTAATATTCTGATTAAAATGACTATAAAATTGATATGTAATTCCATGTGGACCCATGAAATTAATTTGATACTTTTGAAAATAAAATAACTTTAAAAATCATAACTATCCATGCTCTATTTTATCTTTAATAATCTTTATCATTTTTTCCTACATAGGCACATTTTTTTTTTAGTTTTCCCTTACTACTGTATGTTTCATGCATTTCTAGACTCTCTTTTCTTATTCACTCAATGATAATAAACTGTTATTTATTACTTAAAAATAATTTACTAAGGACATGTTTTCAATTTAGCAAGAAATCTTACAAATGTATTCACTTTAATAAACTATATTAAAGGTTACGTTCATCATCCACACATCATAGAGAATATCAGAAGGTACTTAATGTTTCTGATTAAAGGTCAATTCTCATAAAGCTTTTGTTCTTTCGCATGCTGTATTTTCTATTTATTTATGACTTACATATTTACTGATTTTTTCAACTAAGATTTTATTCATTAACCAGAAATATGTACACATTTTCTCAATGTGTATGTATACACATCCATCCATACATCCAAATCAATTTATATATATATAAACAAATTTTCTTTGTGTCAATAAATACTGCATATCATTTAGATAAGATATGAGATTTATTATCCTTTCAATCAGGGAGAAGTACCTTTCAAGAATGATTAAAACAAAACTGGTAATTTTATTACTAGTAGTTGGTAATTGCAACCACTCAATATTTTTGCAAGCCTACAATCAAATTTTGATTAGGTTATCTATGTTTTTAGTGAAAAAAATAGCCCAATTATATTGCAAATAATTATTGAATATCATATTTTTCAGATTTTCAAAATCAAATCATTAAATACAGAGAAAAATATGTGAAACACCTTTTGGTATTTCTTTGAAAGCATCAGTTTTTCCTATTATAACAGAAACAAGATAGGAGATGCCATCATAGGAGTTGACATCCTCCACAACAAGGACCGAAAGGTTCCCCGCAAGGAGCCCAAGAGCCCGGATACCTACCTGAGGCTGTTGGTCAAGCTGTACAGGTTTCTGGCCAGACGAACCAACTCCACATTCAACCAGGTTGTGCTGAAGAGGTTGTTTAGGAGTCGCACCAAGGGCCCACCTCTGCCCCTTTTCCGGATAATCCGCAAGATGAAGCTTCCTGGCCGGGAAAACAAAACCGCCGTGGTTGTGGGGACTATAAGGGATGATGTGCGGGTTCAGGAGGTGCCCAAACTGAAGGTTTGTGCGCTGCGCATGACCAGCCGGGCCCGCCGCGGCCCTAGAGTCCCCCAAGGGCTGTGGCACCGTCCTGCTCTCTGGTCCTCTCAAAGGCCGAGAGGTGTACCGGCATTTCCGCAAGGCCCCGGAAACGCGGCACCAAAACCTACGTCCGCTCCAAGGGCCGGAAGTTCGAGCGTGCCAGAGGCCGACTGGACAACCAAGGCCACAAAAACTAACCCGGGGCTGGGAGCGGTGGCTCACGCCTGTAATCCCAGCACTTTGGGATGCCGAGGCGGGGCGGATCACGAACGAGGTCAGGAGATTGAGACAATCCTGGCTAACACTGTGAAACCCCGTCTCTACTAAAAACACAAAAAATTAGCCGGGCGTGGTGGTGGGTACCTGTAGTCCCAGCTACTGGGGAAGCTGAGGCAGGAGAATAGTGTGAATCCAGGAGGCGGAGGTTGCAGTGAGCCGAGATCGCGCCACTGCACTCCAGCCTGGCGGACAGAGCGAGACTCCATCTCCAAACAAAAAAAATAATAATAACCCTGGATCCTACCCTTTTATTAAAAAGATTTTGGATGCTGACAAAAAAAAAAAAAAGGATACAGGTTTGACCTAGTCACATATTCCACAACCAGCAGCATGCTAAATACTATAGGAGTTAACAAAAAAATCATTAAGACATAACCCCATCCTCTAAGAAATACAATGTTTGTAGAAATAGGGTAAGAAATACACTGTAATTGTGTATAATTTAGATGTTGATCAATATTTTAGTAACACTTTATAATACTTTTCGATCATTAAATTTTGAATTTCTTGTAAATTTTCAACAGAGTATCTGTTTTGCATTCCTTACTTGGTGGAGGTAGAATGAGAGCCAATGATTCTTCACCATCACACAGCCGGTTATCAAGATAGGTAAGCCAAAAGCTTAAGTCTCTTGATTCATAGGCAGAATGCTTTCATTTATACTGTTCTGAGATATAATTTAGCACCAAAAATCTATTGTAAATGCTATCGTTAATAATAATAAAAACTGACCAATGAATGAAATTCTGTTCTCTAGCACAGTTATATATATTTTAATAAAACATATATAAAATATATAAAATATATAATATATACATTGTAATAAAACAAAACCTTACTCTAAGAGAAAGATTATGGCCATCCTTATTAGAATTTTTAAATAATGAAAGTCTTTCTACAAGAGTAGGATATTCTAAAGAATGGAGACTACATCATATTCTTCATTTTATCCTCAGCACATGGCACTTAGTAAGAGGTAAATATTTATTAAAGACCACTGCACTTTTCTGTAAGCCTGGCTGATTCCTTATGAAATTCAAACACTCAAAGTGTTCATATGCTTTCATCAATAAATATAATTAGTCTGACACTCTAAAAGAAAATGTGCTAGCTTAGTTATTTAGGCAAAATATTTCTTCCATGAATTAACAGAGTTAATGCTAAATATGCTTTGCTATTGGTAATTTAGAAGGTTGATTTTATCAATAGGTGAAATAGGTATGCTAGAGTCTTGTGATTTCATCTGCCTAATATTGAAGTATGCTTGGAATTTCAACAACAAAGAATTACTCTGTGGATAAAAGATATCTACTTCTGCCCAAAGCAGCATAATAATCCATATCCACCATGCAAACCTCAAGGTTAGATATAAAATCAACTTGATTTTGATAATTAACCAAATCCATATAAGAAAGTATATACATTTTGGAGACCTTTATTCTGTTTGCTGCTCTTCTTGTACTAGCTGTTATCTTAAATTAGTAATTTCACATTTTTGAGAAAGAGTTTCCATATAAAACATAAAACAATATATAAATCATATATAAAGAATTTTATAAAGAGCAGATGAAAAATCATGATCTGTATAAAACATAGTTGATCAATGATGGTAAAGGGACGTAAAAAGCACAAACTGTGGCTATGTCAGATAAAGCATTTTTCCTTCATGAAAAAGGTTGAGGTCTATATTTGAGTGACTCATTGGTACACTTGGGGGATGGAAAAAAAATGGCCTTATGACATTACACAATTTTTTTAACATCTCTGAGCTACACCGTAAAAAAAAAAACTTGTGACATTTAATTTTCATAATGCATGTAAGTAAACAAACAGAACAAAAATTGATACAGAGCTAGTAAATTGGTCTTCATTTTTGTTTTTAAATTTTAGATCTACAAAGTGGTAGTAATTTATAATTCAAATAAAATTAGTACTCTGAGATTGAAAATAATTTACCTCATTTTTCTGTCTCTCTACTGAACATGAGACACTGTATATCATATCAGTTAATGTGTTTGCATAGTATTGATCCAGTGAATTTTGATACTGACAAGCAATTATAATACAAGATTTAAAAATAATTAGGTTCTCAGAAAATCAATCCTATTATAATTTTAGAGAACATTTTTGATCAAAGATTTCTGAATTTATTTAAGTAAAAAGTTATTTAAATAAAAAGTTAAGTAAAAAGTTATTTAAGTAAATTGTTATTTAAGTAAAACAATAAAATAATTTATATTATTAATATTTTATAGAAAACACAGAAACAGAATGTTGAAATGTACAATACATTCTTTTAAAAAATCACATTTAGTTATTCAAATACAATTTGAGTTTATATGTGTGCTCCTATTTACTCAACAGCAATTTAAAATATTAGATAAATTTACTTTTATTAATTATGTATCAATTTATCAAGGAAATATGTAAAGAACAAATAATTTGGGGTCAGATAAAAAGGTTTTTAATTCTGCCTTATTTATTTCATGCCGTGTGCACCTTGGATAAGTTACCTACCTTTAAAAAAAAATAATTCTAACTTGTAGAGTTAGGGATACCAAATCCTTAAAATCTAAATTTTAGTTATGAGATACAGGGAATTAAAGAAAATATTCTGCACAGCACCTATCACAGAAGGGGCAATGATCACAAATATTATGATGATTATAATATAATATTCTTTTATAAAATATTACAAACTATGCTGTCCAATGTAAAAAGTAATGAACAATAAGTACACTTTTAAATATTCCATATTTATATAGTCTTTAAACCTCAAAAATAACATTTTTGTTCCTTATTTTCTGGAAAAAAAAAACCTGCTGTATATTTCTATTCATCTGGAATACACCAGTTTGTATTTAACTGAATGGAACTTGCAAGCAAAATATATAGGAAAGATTTGAATTAGAAATAAAATAATTATGGTAATGTTCTATTTACCCTTATTGATAAGGGTACTAAATAATTAACTCTTTTATATATAAGATAAAGTGAAGAGTTAAAAATATAGTGAGGCATTGGTCTGCTAGGAATAGAAGAAGGGTCATGAAGGTACAACATTTAGGATTAAATTTGTTCTGGGTATTTGCCAATCCATAAGAAGTGGCTGAAAGGTTGGATTGTACTTTGGACAGCCTCATAATACTAAGAAAAAAAAAAGTAAATGCAGTAGACTTTGGTAACCACTCCCTTCCTGCAACACAAAGAATTCCAATCTAAGAGTAAAGCTGAATGTAATAAACTTGACATCCCTACATAGTGGAGTCTATCATAAAATAATATGAATAGTCTGGACAATTCCAAACCATGCAATTGAATTAAGGTAATTAATCATTGCTAAAGTCTACAGATAACAGGCAGAAGTAAATTACAAACAATTTCTGGAGTAAAAAATCCATTACAGATAACATAATCCTCATCCTCAAATTTACCTCTGCAAGTACTTTTTCAATGACAGTATACTACAAACACAATCTCATTGCAGATAACGTAATCCTCATCCTCAAATTTACCTCTGCGAGTACTTTTTCCGTGACAATATACTACAAACACAATCAAATGTAAAGAGGAAAAGAAGGTGGCAAAATGATATGAGCAGGAATTTCAAAAATAAGAATAAAGAGAACAGCTCAAAAGAAATTACAAATATTGGAACTATCAGACAGAGACTGAAGATAACATTATTTATTTCAGCTGGGCACTTTGGCTCATGCCTGTAATCCCAACACCTTAGGAGGCCAAGGCGGGTTGATCACCTGAGGTCAGGGGTGAGACCCGCCTGACCAACATGGTGAAACCCCATCCCTACTAAAAATACAAAAATTAGCTGGGCGTGGTGGAGGGTGGCTGTAATCCCAGCTACTTGGGAGGCTGAGGAAGGAGAATCACTTGAACCCAGGAGGTGGAGGTTGCTGTGAGCCGAGATCACACCATTGCACTCCAGCCTAGGCAACAATAGCCAAACTCAGTTTAAAAAAAAATTATTTATTTCTACATTCAAGGAGATAAAAACTAAGATGCAATAATTGGATAGAGTACCAAAAACAATAAAAAGAGACTTAGCATATTGAAAAATACATAGATTATTGCAATGGATAACATAACAATCTAAAACAAAGACTCAATGGACATACTCAAAAGCATATTATACAAAGCAAAGGAGAAACAATACATTTGACATTTGGCCAGAACAAACAAAATAGAATGCAACATTTAGAGATAAAAGTTCGGAAATTTTTATATAGGAGAAAAGAAACAAATAGCATATTGGTGAATCTCTAGCATATGATTAATTCAAGTCCCAGAAATGAGGAGTATATTGATGAGACAGAAGTAATACAAAAGGTAACATATGAAAATTTTCTAAAATGCATGAATATGACTAGCCCATTTTTTCAAGATTTTTTTTTTACTGCTAAGTAGAGTGGATACAAAAGACAATCTACACATCAACCATCAAAATAAAACTAAAGAAAACTGGTCAAGTAAAAACATGAAAGAGCTCTTATTTTCAAATTAGTAATAGTGACATTTACAGATGATTTCTCAACAGTGGTGGAAGCCAAAATATAGTGACAAGATATCATCATTTGTGAAAAAGAAAATAACTGCCAATTCAGAATTCTATGCCAAAGAAAATTATGATTGAAGATATGCTGTTGAAATAAAGACATTTTTAGGAAAACAAAAACAAATAATTTACTAGCAGTAGAAGTAAAATAAGAGGGATTCTTAGGAATATTCTTGAAAATAAAGGAAAATTATGCCAAATGGATTTTGGAAGTGTGTAAAGAATAAAACATAATGAAAACATATATAGTGGAGTGAACTTAAGTAAACACTGACTTTATAAAATACTACTAATAATGCAGAAAAAATATTATAAATTATTAGGTATATTTAGAATTATAGGCTCTAAATACTTCATTTTCCTTGAACAATTTCAAAATGTCAATATTAGGCTTTGATAATTTGCATATTTGTTTTCATTTTCAAAATAGCTACTAAGTTTAAGAAGTTATTATACTCAAAACTTTTAGAAAGAAATATCATCGACCTGAATAGCATTATCACTCAGCTTTACCTCATTGACATTTACAGAATACTCCATACAACATTATTAGAATATACATGATTTTCAAAGTTCACATGGAATGTTAACCAAAATAGATCACATTCCAGACCGTAAAACATATCATAATAAATGTAAGTTAATAAAAATATTATACAATATGTTCTCAGACCACAATGGAAATAAGCTAGAAATCAATACTAGAAAGATAACTAGAAAATTCTAAAGTACATGGAAATTAAACAACACACCTTTAAATGACACAATTATCAAATAAAATGTGTCAAAAATAAATTTCACAAATATTTTGAAGTACATGAAAATGAAATACAACATATCAAGTTATGTTGATATAACAAAATCTTTAGTAATAATTTTATAGTATTAAATCAATATTAGTAAAATGAATAAATACCTGAAAACAGTGATCTAAGCCTCCATCTCAGGAAACTAGAGAAAGAGCAACTTTAGCCTAAAGCTTGCAGAAGTAAAGAAGTGGTAAAAACAAAAGTGAAATCAATAAAATTGGAAAAGTGTAACAATAATCAGCAAAATTAATAGGTAGTTCTTAGTAAAGATCATTAACGGTGACAAACTTCTAGCCAAGTTAACCAAGGACAAAAGAGAGAAGACACAAATTACTAATAACATAAATAAAAGAGGGGTCAGCATTACTGATCCTATGGACATTAAAAAAATAAAGGAATATTATGAACAACTCTTTTTTCACAAATTTGATAACTTAGACAAAAATGACCACCTCCTTGAAAGACACAAATTTCCAAAACTTACAGAAAGATAAAGAGATTGCCTAAATAGGCCTGTATCTATTAAAGAAATTGAGTCAAAAAGTAATAACCTTCCAAAAAAGAAAGCAACAAGCCTAGAAAATTTATTAGTGAATTCTACCAAACATTTAAGAAAGAAAAGACACAAATTCTCTACAATCTCTTCCAGAAAACAGAGATGGAGGAAACATTTCCTACATATCCTCAAGGATAGAATTATTCTAATACCACAACAGATAAAGACATTACAAGAAAGAAAAACAACAGACCATATCTCTCATGAATGTAGATGCAAAATCCTCAATAAATGTTAGCATATCAAATCAAACAAAATATAAAAATAAAGTACAACCTAGTAGCATTTATCCAATTATACACAGATAGGTCAATATTTGAAAATATGCTAAGATAATTACCTCTCTAGAAGAGGTAATATGAATACACTCTTCTTAAACGTGAACTGTGCACAGTGACTTTTTTCCAAAGAATAAAGTGTAGAAAGGGAGAGGGGAAGTGTCACTTCAGAGTATAGAAAGATAACAAACAGTATCTCAGCAAGGTGATGAGGGTCATTATCAAGAGTCATACATCATGTAGGTGAAAATGGCACTTTACTTCTGGGATCTTCTTTCCTCCAATTCATAACCTCTGTCTAATCGTGAGAAAAACATCAGGTGAATTTTTTAGAGAGGGGCGTCCTACAAAATGCATACCGAGGTCATTAGAAACAAGGAAAGTCTCAGAAACTGTCACAGGCAAGAGGAATCTAAAGGGAGATGACAAGTAAATATAAGGTAGTATTCTGGATGAGGTCCTGGAACAACAACAACAACAATAACGAATTACATAAAGAATCTGAACTATGGACTTTAGCTAATAACAATGTATCAAATATAGGCCCATAACTTAACAAATAATTGTATGATACTAATGTGAGTTGTTGATAATAGGATTTGAAAATATTTTTCTCATTCCATAGGTAGATTTTTTATTCTGTTAATTGCTTCCTTTGCTGTCCTGATTTTTAGCTTAATTTAGTTCCACTTGTTTATTTTTGGCTTTGTTACCTGTGTACTTTTGGTATCATATTCATAAAATCATTGCCAACGTCAGCATCATTAAGTTTTTTTCCCAGTTTTTTAGGAGTGTCATAGTTTTGGCTCTTACCTTTAAGTTTTAGTCTAATTTGAGTTGATTATTCTGTATGGTATAAGATATAGAATGGGATACTTTTTTTTTTTTTGCAAACCACACATCTGATAAATGGCTAATACCCAAAATATATGAAGAACTCTTATAACTCAACAGTAGCAAAGCTAATACTCTGATTTTAAAAATAAGCTATCAACTTGGAAATACATTTCTCCAAAGAAGACATAAAAATGGATAACACATATGAGAAAATATTCAATGATATTAATCGTCAGAGAAATGCAAACCAAAACCACAATGAGATATCTTCTCAATCTGTTGGGATGGCTATTGTCAATCTCAAAAAAAAAAAAAAAATGCAATATGTGTTGGGAAAGATGTGGAGAAATCAGAACTCTTGCACACTATTGGTGCAAATGCAAAATGCTGCAGCCACTATGGAAAACAGTATGGGTGTTCCTCAAAAATTAAAAATAGAGCTACCCTATGATCCAGCAACCCCACTTCTAGGTATTTATTTAAAAGAACTGAAATCAGGATCTCAAAGTGATACATGCATGTATAAGATGAAAGAATTGCTGAAAATTAGTGTGTAGTTAGAAAAAGAAATGTAATATAAATTAAGTAGAAATAAGAATGTGAAAAACATAAATTAATATAATTAAATAATTACAATTTTAGATGATCATAAAAATAAGTGAAAATTATTTTCGAAAGCTTGATATGATTTGTAAATATCTATTATGAATGATCAGATAAAATGAGAAAAGTTACAAATAACCAATTCAGAAACGAAAAGAACATTGCTACATATACTTTACACATTCAAATGTTAATTAGAATATAATACGAAAAATATTATTTAAATAAGGTGAAAAATTATGCATAATAGACAAATTATAGAAAAATAAAACTTACCAAAACAGACACAAGAAATAATAAAGTATTAAATTAGGTCTAAATCCTTTCAAAATAAAAACATTTAGAAATCTAGAAGTAGTAGAAAACCAATAAATACAGGCAAAATGTTCTCAAAGAATTCAAAATCACAATGATAGGCCATTTCACACCTATTAAAATAAATGAAACAGGCCAGGTGTGGTGGCTCATACCTGTAATCCCAACACTTTGGGAGGCCAAGGCGGGCGGGTCACGAGGTTAGGAGATCGAGACCATCCTGGCTAACACGGTGAAACCCCGTCTCCACTAAAAATACAAAAAATTAGCCGGGCATGGTGTCTCATGCCTGTAGTCCCAGCTACCTGGGAAGCTGAGGCAGGAGAATGGCATGAACCTGGGAGGCAGAGCTTGCAGTGTGCCAAGATCGTGCCACTGCACTCCAGCCTGGGTGACAGAGCGAGACTCCCGTCTCAAAAAAAAATAAAATAAAATAAAAATTAAAATTAAATAAATAAATAAATAAATAAAACAAATTATAATGCGAAATGTGGGCTGTGAGGTATACAACCAGGAACACTCATCCATAACATCATTGGCTAATGGTCCTAATTATTTTGGAAAATAGTTTGTCATTGTCTAATAAAATTGAATATATGCTTAAGTGATGCTGTTGCAACTCAATTGCAATATGTTAACCAAACAGAAATGAATGTATTTTTGCACCATCAAACTTATATAGTCTACACATATTATTTATAATAGTCACCAAATAGAAACAACCCTAATGCCCTTAAAAGATATAAGTAATAAATAAAGTGTTGTGTATTCATCCATTGCAATACTACACAGGTATAAAATGAACAACTACAAATACAAGCAACCCAACAGATGAAACATAAAAGTTTGAAGTAAAGAAACCAGGCAGAAGAGAATTCATAGTGTTTGATTTCATATACATTAACTTTAAAAGTAAAAAAGTCAAAAAGAATGGTTTTGAAGATAGTTAGGTTTTGAAGATGAATAGATGAATTTATACATATTAATTAATGTAAAACTTGGGGAAATAGAGAAATGAGAGGTGACTGAGAAGGAGAATGGAGGGAGGCTTCTGAGGCTTCAATGTTCCTGCTCTTTTTCTTCTATATAGTGACACAAGTATTCTCTTTATCATAATTTGTTAAGCTGTACATTTATATTTTATATATTTTGCATTCATTATAGTTTATAAAAAATAAAACAAAAAATTACAGCTTCTACAATTGCACATAATTGTGTTTGTGTCTGTGGTATGTTTCAAGCTGTCACAGGCAGCAGGTTGAATAAATAAATCGATAAATCATGAGGTAAATTAACAATACATCATGAGATAAATTTAACCACAATGGTTTTATTTCCGATAGCATCATCATCATTATTATTATTATTATTATTATTATTATTATTTTGAGACGGAGTCTCACTCTGTCACCCAGGCTGGAGTGCAGGGACACGATCTTGGCTCACTGCAACCTCCGCCTCCTGGCTTCAAGAGATTCTCCTGCCTCAGCCTCCCGAGTAGCTGGGATTACAGGTGCATGCCACCCTGCCCAGCTGATTTTTGTATTTTTAGTAGAGACGAGGTTTCGCCCTGTTGGCCAGGCTGGTCTCAAACTCATGACCTCAGATGATTGACCCTCCTCGGCCTCCCAAAGTGCTGGGATTGCAGGCGTGAGCCACCGCGCCTGGCCTTTCTGATAGCTTTTATAGGGTAAATGAACAAATTGAATTCGAGTCATCGATAATGCATATCCTCTCTTATCAGACATGTTTGTTTTCACTACCCAGAGAATGCTGTTCACACTTACCAACTCCTGCCTCCTCAACAAGGTTCCTTTCCTCTGTGCTCTGATTTCAATTAATGGCAAAACAACATGTTCCTAAGCTTCAGTTACTTAAACATAGGCATTTTTTACTTCTCAGAGCTTAGTGCCCTTGTAGTGATAATAGGTACGAAGTAGCATTTGGTTTTCCTTCATATCGTCTATGGAATATTATTGCCCTCCTTTATACTCCAATAGCCATTACTCAAGTTCTCGTCACTTCTTATTTTCTACAGTGGCTTCAATTACTGATTTTAAGCCCTCTATACTGTATATATAAATATTCCACATGCTGATGTAAAATGATTTTATTAATATTAATAATATTTATTAAGGTTTTATATGCCAATCTCTAAGCTAAATATTTTTAATCTTCATCTTATTGAATATTCATTTAGTTCTTGTATCATCCCAATGATGTCATTTTCTGTATTTTCAATGAAGAAAATAGGTAAATACATATTAAGTAGATTGTCAAATTACACAGCTGGTAAGTAAAGGGTTGGGACTGAAACCCAAATCTCATGCTCTAAATAGTGCATTTTCTCCTTGCTTACAAAATAAGGTATAATCAAATAAAAAGTTCTCATGTCACCAGCGTTGTCAGGCTTTCAAAATTCTCTGCAATCTGACTCCAGTCTATAATTTCAGTCCTATCTCCAACTGTCTCCATTCACATAGTCTCATTATTTCCAATCCCAGTCATATCTTCCTCTGTGTTTTTGCAACAATTATTCTTTTGACCTGTGCATCTCATCTCAAGTCTCCAATTAAAATATCACCTTTCTGTCAAGGCCCTACATACATATAACCTCCTCCATGAAGCTTTCACTAACCTATCAGTAAGAATTATCCCTCCTTGTACTGTCCTTCCATAGGACTCTACTAAGGCCTCTATGAATATTCTGTTTAAATTTGTTTTATGATTTATGCACATATCATCACCTGTACTGTCAAAACATGGTCTGAATGTCAAAAGCCATCATAATCTATCCCTGCATGCTCCTCCTGCCTCCTCCTACACCGTACACCCATTCATTCTAACAAATAACAACCATTGGTTTATTGATAATCCTCCCAGGCAGGTGTTTTTACCACTGGTCCTTACTTTGCTTTAAATGTACTCCACCAACCATCATCCTCTATTTCTATCTTCCCCACTCCTGTGTGGATTCCTAGTTCTACTTCAATCAGGAATCCAGCTATTTTCAGGGTAGCCTTCTTTTTCATCCCAAACCCCAGCACTTCAGCCTCTCCCCACCTTCACTTGCTATATACTTGCACAAGACTTTGCATTATTTCTTCATTGATTTTTATCACAACTTGTATCTATTACACTAATTTGTGAAATTGTTTCTTTCTCCATCTCTAAACTTTAGCTGCATAAGAATAAAGACCACATTTTTTCCCTTTTGTTTGTAATGGAATCCTCAGTGCCTAGCCCATGTCAGGAACATAATAATCAATACATTTATTTATTTATTTATTTATTTATTTTTGAATGGACAGTTTCTTGTCGATTCTGGGCAATGTCATCTTCAGTACTCCGCTCAGATGTCGGGATTTTCAAATTGACTTTCATAATAAGAGGATTACACTGTGTGAAATTTCACCTAAGGAATAAGCAGAACAGAACCATTTCATCACAGATTTAAAACTGATTTGATCTCAGTTCCTTTCTAAGTAATGGAAAATAGTAGGCTTATCTAAATGGAATAGGGCTATCTATCTAAATGTTGTTATATAGAGGACAATCTCCATGCATCATGCTTTATTTATCCTGTTTTAGATGTAGTCTTTGTAGCAAGAAAACATAAAGTGTATGCATCATTCAATTTCTCTTTTTATCCATTTTTTCTCCATAAATTTTTTGGGGTTTTTATTTATTTATTTATTTATTTTGAGACGGAGTCTTGCTCTGTTGTCCAGGCTGGAGTGCAGTGGCGTGATCCTGGCTCACTGCAAGCTCTGCCTCCCAGGTTGGCTCCATTCTCCTGCCTCAGTCTTCTGAGTAGCTGGGACTACAGGCATGTTCCACCATGCCCGGCTAATTTTTTGTATTTTTAGTAGAGACGGTGTTTCACCATGTTTGCCAGGATGGTCTCGATCTCCTGACCCTGCGATCCACCTGCCTCGGCCTCCCAAAGTGCTGGGATTACAGGTGTGAGCCACTGTGCTCGGCCTCTCCATAAATGTTTGTCTTCATTTCATATATTTGTGAATATCTGCCTGTTTCTTTCCTGTCAGTTACTTAGCTCAATAATCTTAATTGCATGGTCATAATTTTAATACTTACAATGCCTAACTTGCAGGCCCTGCTCATAAGTTATAGAATTTGTACCCCTGACACACTTATATTAATACCTTTTCTCCATCCTGGTTTTTCCATCTGTCTCTATCACCTGTCTTTTTCTTTTTTGCTCTTCTATCTTGTCTGCCAGCTGGTGTTTACCTAATGATTTTCAGTCTTTGCTGCCTTTCCAAATAATATATATATGTCTCTTTGCTAGTGAATTGCCCAGCTGTGGATTTCTAAATAGCTGTAGCCTAGTCATGGGAATTTTAACTTGAGGCTCCAGAGTAAAACTTGGCAGTAGAACCATATATCCTTAGAATGTCCTTGGATACTGTTTCAGATACACTGAGGATCCTTGGACAGGGTTCTCTCTCACTATTCCAACTTCAGTGTGTGTGTGTGTGTGTGTGTGTGTGTGTGTGATCTTTTTTATTATATATTTATATATTTTTTATTATATATTTATCTGATAGCTCCTTTCTCAAATTAGACAAACTCTATGTACCTGGAGCCTGTGCCGTTTTGCCCATTTTCTCTCTTTTTGATTCTTAAGGAACTATGTTTCCTGCACTGATATAAAGAGATCCAAACAACACTACATTAATTTCAGAATTGGATTGATTTTTACATTTTCAAAAAATATGATTAGCCATTGTAATGACTGCAGATCCTTCTAAGATTCAAAGTTACTAGAGCCTAAAGAATATGATGAGAAAATAAATGCATTCTTATCTCCTAGAAAAGCACCAACAATTAAAGCTTATGACCAGATCCTGAGTTTGGAACATAATCACAATTCCGGGAAAATGAAAGAAAATATGATGCAAATGTAAACTAACAAAAATTACGTGTGGCTTCTAACACAGTCAATCTCATAGTCAAGGAGTGTCAAAGACAGGAAGTTTGCCATTTATGTAAGAATTAAGCTAAAATACAGATTTGTGAGAAGTAATAATTACAATGTGGATGTAAAGAAAGATGGTTACTGTGCCTTTAAAATTGAGAAATAGTTGATTTGCACTGAGCAAACAGGAGTTACTAAGGGCTTTGAAAAATAGGCAAATCTCGTAAAGTTTGTGTGTGTGTGTGTGTGTGTGTGTGTGTGTGTTCATGTGTCTTTTTTCTCTCAAGCTCTTTTGTTTATATTGAATATAATCCTATCAAGATTTCTCTAGCTTTAACATCTAAGAAGCATATTTTCAAAAGCCATTTACCACAAACTAGGAGCTAAACAGTATACCCAAAGAAATTTTCATACCAATGTGGCTGATTTCACTTGAGATAAAAGGTAATGTTATTTTAACATTAAACATAACTGCCCATCAAATGTTGTTTTTATAATTTATTGAAATAGTTTAATATTCTAGCAATACAGATTTCTCTTTTCAGTCTTTTTAATTACTATATTTTCAGTTGAAGTCAGCTGTGGCAGTTAGCTTTATTTTATTTCTGGGTGTAGTTCCAATTGATATGATTATATCATATCCTACTTACTATTTACTGGAATAAGTTTCTTCCTAGCCATCAATATGTGACTTGTTACAATCATATTCTGTTATTATTATTAAGTTGCCGTAGAGCATAAATGAATATTGTTTCTGAAAATCTATCTTTGCTTTTTACAATTTTCTCTGAGAAAAGAATTGCAAATATATAATTTTATAAATAATCTTCCAAATAAGACAGTTCAGCTAAAATTTAGTTCGAGCTTTCTTAATAATTTCATTGTAGTAGTCTTTTTTCAAGTCTATCTTTTTCAAAACAATAACTCATACTGGTATAACTTCTGTGAGTAACTTCTAGGTCTACCAAAAATACAAGCAATTGTAATCTCATTTGCTGAATAGTTGTTGCAGATAAAATATTTACTTATAAGATTTTGCCTTCACTGGGGCAAAGGGACAAGTCTAGAAATAGAGCCTGGCAATAAGACAGATTTATTTATTTATTTATTTATTTATTTCTTTCTTTCTTTCTTTCTTTCTTTCTTTCTTTCTTTCTTTCCTTCTTTCTTTCTTTCTCTTTCTTTCTTTCTTTCTCTCTTTCTTTCTCTTTCTCTCTCTCTCCTCTCTCCTCTCTCTCTCTCCCTCTCTGAGAGAGGGAGAGAGAGAGAGGAGAGAGGAGAGAGAGAGAGAGAGATTGTATTTTTAGTAGAGACGGGGTTTCACCGTGTTAGCCAGGATAGTCTCAGTCTCCTGACCTCGTGATCCGCCCGCCTCAGCCTCGCAAAGTGCTGGGATTACAGGCGTGAGCCACCGCGCCCCGCCAATAAGACCGATTTCTAAAAAAATGAACTCTCAGGGAATAGCCAGCAGGGAGAAATTCTAGTTGCTTTGTGGGACACTGTCAAAGAGAAGAAGAAAGGGAATATTATACCAGTAAGAAATTAAGAGATAGACAAGGGTTTAGGAGGGTTA
This sequence comes from Homo sapiens, assembly GCF_000001405.40. NCBI lineage: Eukaryota > Metazoa > Chordata > Mammalia > Primates > Hominidae > Homo > Homo sapiens. Next base: position 39,176,536 of record NC_000011.10, read on the forward strand.
CCAGACAATTTTTATGTTGGAGATCTCTGACCAAGCATAGGTACTCAATGACTGAGTAATTTTATGGATTAATTAATGTATCATAGTGATGAAAGGGGGGATCTTAGTGCAGGAAGAAACTGGATACCAAACAGGTCTCCAGGAATAAGCAAAGATAAGACAAAACCAATCTGTTTCATAAATGATTAATAAGTTGGCTATGCAGCTGTTATGAGGCAGAAATTGGATGTTCATCTATATATTGTAACTGTAAATCCCAGGTCACAATCATTTGTATCAGCTGTCTCTACTTGACAGTAATAACAATAACATCAATAGTTAATGAAAATAAATATTTTAATAGACATTTTATATATTATGTGTGTAATTTCTATAGTGGCTTGGTAAAGTACATAACATTAACTACATTTTAAAGATAGGAAATTTAGGATTAGAGAAGTTAAAAATTAAATCCATGGCTATTAGATTTCAGAGCCCAAGACTATAACCACTGACATAAATATTCAACTAATAAGTATCTGGACTGGAACGTGAGTGTGAATGTGTTATAAAAATACAATTCTAATAGTGTCTTTTATCTTACTCTTCCCATGGCTTGAGAAGTACTTTACCTGGCTTTTTAGAGACTAGCATCCAAGTCATCACTTCAGTCCCTGACATATAAAGAACCCAAGTAGTCCACCCTCCCTGAGTTTTGTTAAGTATTTTTCACTTATAACACTTTATGTCTAACTAAAATATCTTATTTATGAATTATTTACTCATTATTTGTCTTCCTGAACTAAATGTAAGCTCCAAAATAATGACGTCTGTTAGTTCACTATTTATGTCTTTATTACCAATCAGCAGCAATTGAGAGTCCTTCAATAAATATTTGTGAAATGAGTAAAAACAAATGACATGTAGATGTTTATATTCCCCCAAAATTCATATGTGAAAACTCTAGCCCCAAAACGGGTGGTATTAGGAAGTGTAGCCTTTGAAAGGTCATTAGATTTAGATGAGGTCTTGAGAGTGGAGCCCTCATGAGAAAGAGTTCTAGTCTCTTTCTCTCCACTTTGTGAGGATCCAACAAAAAGACATCTATCTTCAAGCCAAAAAGAATGCCCTCACCAGACAACAGATCTACCTGCACCTTGATTTTGGACTTCCCAGCTTCCAGAACTGTGAGAAATAAATGTCTTATGTTTAATCAGGAAAGAAAGGGAAAGGGAAGGGGAAGAGGAAGAGAGGGAGAGAGAGAGAGAAAGGAAAGAAAGACAGAAAGAAGAAAGAAAAAGAAAAAGAAAGAAAGAAGGAAAAAGAAAGAAAGAAAAAGAAAGAAAGAAGGAAAAAGAAAGAAAGAAAAAGAAAGAAAGAAAGAGAAAGAAGAAAGAAAGAAAGACAAAGAAAGAGAAAGGGAAGGAAAGCGGGAGGGAGGATGGAGGAAGGGAGGAAGGGAGGGAAATGTAGGAAGGCAAAACCAACAAACGTAAATTTTTACTCAGTACTATCACGCAAATTTTTAAAACGGATAGCTTTCAATGTATGCAACTATAGAAAATGAGGGAAATCTTATACTTTGCTGGAAATGTAGATTATTGGAATTATTATTGTAAAAATAATGAGAAAGTACAAATTAGAATTGTCTATATATGTATAGCCTTTGACCTAATCATCATTCTTTCTAAGAAACTTTCTACAGTAATTAAAAGAGTATAAATACATATATAAGCTATGCATCATAAAAATTATATTGTAATTTGTAAAATCTTAAAATTTAAAAGAAATGTAAAGTAAATAATAATCAAATGGATCACAGTTGAATAAATTATATGAACTATTTTGTAGCCATAAAAAAAGCATCAAAATATACTATTTCTAGTATCTCATTTATTCTTAGTAATGTATGGTATAAATTAAAAATTATAAACTTTCGTGAATAAAAAGGCTGAAAAACACAAAGGTACTTTTCAACTTATAATGTTTTAATGTAATCTTAATTTCAAAAATCATATTTTTGGGGCAATCATTATAGGAGAAACACGAAAAATTAATTTTTGAATTAATAATACTAATAATATGAATGTGATATAATAACCAGAAGAAAAAAATGAAAAGGAGGAAATGTTATTTATTTTGACTATGAATAGTGATGTAGGATTAAGATTTGTCCTAACATTATTACATATTGAAAACTAGAATAACTTAAAAGAAGTGATGCTGCTATGAAGTGAATATGAAGATCATGAGAACTAAATGAATAGAGTTTAAACAAATAACATTACATAAAATACTTTAATTTGGTATACAATAAACATTTCCAATATATTATAAAGACAGAGTTATTCAATATATGATTATTTAAGAAATCTGCCTTATCAAAAATTAATTCTCATTTGATAAAATGATGAAACATAAAAATAACACCATTAAAATATAAGAATATTTGATCAATTATGATATCTCTGGAGGAAGCAGGATAAAATTTAAAAGCAATGAAATAAATTATGAAAAAAGTTTGAAGACATATGTATCTCAAAAAAGCAATAATCCTTATTAATTTTAAAAGATTTAAAAGGTAGAATAAAAGAAATTTTAACAATAATACAATATGTATTACAATAAAACAACCATGTACAGTTTTATGCTTACAAATTAGCGAAGAAAAAAGCAAAATATTTAATGTCAATGTGCTAACTCTGGAATCATTGTGGAAAGGAAAATTAGCATAACTAATTGGTAAAACAATTGGACCTCATACAACTTAGAGATTTGGCCTATTGACTGTGTTACATAAACAATAAATTAAGAAAATAGTGTATATCTAAAAAAAATCACACAAATAGTGTTTTAAAGACTAACATAATAAAAAAGAAAACTCCATAAGTAAATTATCATATTGGAATATACTTAAACATAATTGACCCAAACACCATAATTTCTAAGGAATAAATTTGTTTGCAGTTGTCCACCTTTATCTGAAGTGTCCCTTTTTGCTTTTTCAGTTTCTCCTGGTAAACCACAGCCTGAAAATATTAAAGAAAAAAATAACATATATAAAAAATTCGTGTGTACAATTGTGCATTCTTCTGAGAATTGTTATAATTGTTTTATTGTTGTTGTTAGTCTTTATTGTGCTTAACTTCTGAATTAAACTTTATCATTGGTAAGTTTGTATTTTTTGTAATAAAAAATCTTAAATTTACTCTTGATAATTTGAAGAGTGTCTTATTATTTGAAAGATGTTCAATTTTAAGTGTACATGATGAAGAAACACACTTTTTACAAATTCAGCCATAGTGGTCATTGTTCCTCTTTATAGTACCTCTATTCCTTCTTCAGTCAGTGGCAGAATGACCTATTATAATTAAAACGTGGTAATCTGTGTTTCTCCTCTTCTTTTACATTTAAGTTTTAAATTGGCATACGATAATAACTGTATGTACCTATTAACAGGACATATAGTGACATTTTGACACATATAATCTATAGTAATTAGATCAGGGTAATCAATAATCAGCATATCCGTCATCCTAAACGTTTATTTTTTTGCCGTTGGGAAAATTCACAGTGCTCCTTCTAGCCATTTGAAACTACATAATGTCTTATTATTAATTATAGTCATCCTACAGTGGTAGTGACACTGGAATTTATTTCTCCTATCTAGCTGTCATTTCTTCCCCCTACTCTTCTCAACCTCTAGTATCCTCTGTTCTACCAAAAGAACATAGTATATATAGGGTTTGGCACTATCAACAGTTTCAGGCATCCACTGGGGTTCTCAGAGCATATTCCCCATGGCTCAGAGGGAACTACTGTATAATGTTTTAAAAAATAAAACAGGACTTAGAATTTTAAATAGAGTGTGATGAAATGAAGCTCTAGGATTGTAGGAAAATGTTAACATGGTTATCTATGAAACGTGGAATTATGATATATATTTTTTTCTTTATTTATCCTTTTCTGTATTTTCCAGATGAATTGGGAGTGTGACCAATAGAGAAAAAAATCCTAAAACTCTTAATTTTTAGGTAACATTTCCAGTCAGCATTATTATGTTTTACCCTCAGAAGCACCTTTTTATTTTGTGAGCACAGTATGCCATTCTATATGGAGAGGTTTCTGCCATAGATGTATTATGGGACGTTCACTAATAATATCTTGTACCCTAAAAATCTGATCTTCAAAGTTGATGATTTGGACAAATAATTATAGCTTATGTCATAAGGATTGGGCAGATACAATATGCTACTCCTTCTGCTAGAATTTTTGCGTGGTTATTTATCTTTTTCACTACAATTAAGGTTGAGAAACATTGGCATCTATTTTCTGAATCCCTGCCAATAGAAACTACTATTTCACATTTGCTTCTGACTAATGTTCTTGTCACTTGGATTCATATAATTTTCTTTTTAAAATAGGTGGGTATTCTGGAACTCCTTTAGGAAACTAAATATAATAACAAGAATTAATACACCTAATTGTGATTGTCTTCTTCAGGGCAAACGTGTCTTTGTTCCCTTTTTTTTTTTTTTTTTGGATTTTTTTTTGTCTCTGTTCCGTGCTTCAGTTATACTTTAGAATATTATCATTGTAGAGAAGAAATAAAAAACAGGCATGTACTATACCCAATGATAATAATATGATTCTCTGCTTCTGTGGGTTATCTAACTGTATATATGAAGCTACAACTCGAAAATACCTACCACATCTTGGGACCCCAAAAAATTTTCTACAAAATATATTATGAAAAACAAAAAGGGAGAAAGGCTGTTTCCCAGAGTTTAAGGGTGTAGTGATTGATGGAAAATGGTTTTGAAGAATTCAGAAATTAAGGCAGTGAAAGACTAGAAGTAATGAATGGAATGTAAGGATGATGTATTTAAGGGTTATTTAGAAAAAGGGAGGTGGATGCTAGGTTGACAAATAGTCATGAAATAAAGCAGTTTTTATCTACATTAAATTAGAAGTTAAGGGGTTTTTTTTTCCAGGCACTTTAAAGATATAATCGATTCAACCTTGGAAAACAAATTTTTAAGTTATGCAAAGTATTTTTATTGTATTTCTAATACTAAAGATTTTACGTTCACAAATAAAATTTTAGATATAAACACTTCTCAGAATACGATGAAATGTGAATTTTTAAGTTGACTACTCACCTTTTCCCCACCCCAAATAAAACAACTAAATCATGCTCTGGATTGCTCACTTTTATATCTGTAGAAATACCTTTCCAGATATAAGGGGTGTCACAAGTAATAATTTTACAGATCAGGGAAGAGACGTAAAATAGAATTGAATTGAAATAACAATTTGACATAATCACAATAGCTTCTGTTTGAGGGAGGAAGAGAAAAACCTTAACTACGTATAAAAAAAGTATCTTTCAAAAAATGTACCACAATCTTCATGTATTAAAAACAAAAACAAAAACAAAACAAACAAATAAACAACTCTTTAGAATAGGGCCTAGGGGAATTTATACAGATATTTCCTTAGGGTAAGACTTTATCAAAGCCTGGAGGAAATTAGCACTAGAATTGTCTCCTAAATAAACTCGCAGTTCTAGAACTCAACCATTTTAACTTCCAGAAGCCAGGGAGAAATTTGAATGACAATATAAATAATGACATAAGAAGCAAGGCTGCTGTGCTATGTTGCTATTAGATTTTATTTAACTGGGGGATATAAAACCTAACTAAAAAATACTTTATTAGAAACTTTATTGATATTTACACTGGCTACCTGAAGAAAGAGATTGAAATTTTGTAAGGTAATAATTCAAAATATTTAATCTCATGTTTCTTAGGAAGACAGTAATAGCTGCATAAAAAGTGAGAACAATTTTGAACAAACTATTTACTTTTGACTATTTACTTCTGTTTCTTAGAATTTTCTCTATTCCCTAGTCGAATATTGTACAATGAACCCGATAGAAAACTAAGTTAATGAAATTTATGCTGGTATATTGTATCACATAGCAGTGTTGAGAATTACTATAGCAGTATGGCTTTCAGTTTAAGGGCAAGAGAAAATTTACTGTAAAAGAAACCTAAAGAAAATCGATGTTTACACATTGCAGAAAATGCTTTTGCAGATTGCTTAGAGAAAATTCTTCATATGAGTGCAGTCTAATTTATTTAATGATAATTTTTATTACAAATGAGGTCATTTATTATTCTGCTGAACATATTGGCATGAAATATTAAGATTAAATGGTCATGTCAGATGAAAAGGTAAGTCAGGACGAGAGGGCTTAATGTGAAAATAAAAACAAAAAAAGGTGTTTATGGAATGTGGGAAAGCCTTTACTCCTGAGCCCTTACATCTGGAAGTTTAGCCTTCAAAGCCAAACAAAGACAAAAGGGCAAAGAGCTACCACATAACTAGTGTGATACTTCCTTGTGCATTTTAATCTTTTCAAGCATAGTTCAAAAATTTAAGGGTTTCAAAACATGCTAAAGACTTAAAACTTTGAGAACTATTACATAAACAAGTGGTAAAGGCATAGACTCAGAGAAATTCAGAAAGCAGCATCAAAAATACAGTTATTATCAACAAAATAAAATACAGTGCTTCTTTCTTGAAGGATTTCACTAAATGAGAGAGTACAGATTTTAGGAGGAAACCAGATATGTAATTAGGTAATTGGTTGCAGAAGTGTAAAAATAATAATAATAATAAAAGCCCTAACAGTAGCAAAAGAAATTGTATTATAGCCAAAGCAATACAAAATACAAGGAATTCAGCCATCAAAAGCCCCCCCCACACACAGACACACATATACACAGACACACACACATGATCTGTGATAATAACGTGGAAGAAGAACTTCCTGTTTCATACACCAGTCTTGAGTTAACTTGGATTACATTAATTAACTTTATCAATGAGCTTTGTAATACAGTACCTGCCCTGAATTTCAGTTATTACCTGGAATGCTGAGGAGGGATAATATACCGACTCAGAGACATTCCGTGATACTAATTAACAGGGGAAATAAGTGTAGAATGCAAATACATGAAAATCACAGCTAACAAAATAATTCTTATTTTTACTCCCACATAACTACAGAAAGATTTTGTGTTTGCTGAAATTTAAAATGAATTTTGACATCATTTCATAATGAGTGTAATTAAAACATCTCATTTCTGTGAGTATGGGGGATCTAAATGAAAAAAAGATGAATGTGAAGTACTTTATAAGAAGATATTCCTATCTGAATTTAGTACGTGAACCATATGATGCTTAAAAAAAAGGGTTCAGGTCAGGTGATAAGTCTTGTTTTCATGTGTTTTTCTTTCATTCTCATTCTCCTAACTCTTTTAACTTCCTTCCATTTCCTTGATTTTCTGTTTTTTCTTTTTTGTATTAACTTCTCTCTTCTTTCCACTCCCATTTAATTCAGAATGATTACAATTATTAATTGCATTCATCAAATAGCACTCCAGTGAGTGTCATGCCCATAAAATGAGCATGTTGACATTTATATAAATCAATTAATAAACTAGAACTCAAAATGACTAAACAACTGAATCTATAGCTATTCACAAACTGTTTGATTTAAAAAGTCAAAATAAATTAAACTTCTCTGTTTGTCTTTTCTAAACCAATACATGTATGTTAACAATAATTTTTGCCCCAGTGAAGCCTTAACAATTAAAATATAAAATTTCCCCAAAATGACCCAAGTATTATAGAAGTATCAGAAAAATTAGCCACCCTAGGGTAATGGGAAGGTGCATACCATTTGGTCCTAAAGTCTCTTTAGCCTTTCAAAATGTTATTATTAATTACCACTTCTGTATTTGTCCTATCTCACACTGCTATAAAGAACTGCCTGCGACTGGGTAATTTAGGAAAAAAAGAGGTTTAATTAACTCACAGTTCAGGAGTCTTAACAGGAAGCATGGCTGGGAGGCCTTGGGAAGCTCAATCATGGCAGAAGGTGAAAGGGAAGGAAGCACATCTTACCATGGTGGAGCAGGAGAGAGTGTAAAGGGGGAAGTGCTACACACTTTTAAACCATCAGATCTGGTGAGAACTCACTCACTATCAGAAAGACAGCAAGGGCAGAATCTACCCCCATGATCCAATCATCTCTCATCAGGTCCCTTTCCCAACATTGGGAATTACATTTCAACATGAGATTTGTGTGGGGACACAGAACCAAACTATATCAACTTCCCATAGATATCTCCTTTTCTACCACGAATATTTTCTATTGTTGTGTCTCCATGATGTCACCCCACACTGAAGCTTCAAAAAACAAAAACAAAAGAAAAGCCAGGCAGAATATTCCCTGGAAAGGATTTAATTGTGTTTCTACAAAATTTAAATGTTGAAGTCCTAACCCCCAGTACCTTAGAATATGTTCTTATTTGGAAACAGGGTTGTGGCAGATGTAATTACTTAAGGGGAGGTCATATTAGAATAGGGTGGATCCTTAATCCAATATGATGAATGTCATTATAAAAGGAGAAAATTGGTAGTTAGATGCATTCACAGGATGAATGCTATTTAAAGATGAAGGCAGAGATACAATGTAAGGAATGCCAAAGATTGCCAGCAAACCACAAGAATCTCTGAAAGGGGGATGAAACAGGTTATCTCCCAAAGCCCTCAGAAGTAACCAATTCTGGTGAAACCTTGATTTTGGACTTTCAGCCTTTAGAACTGTGAGAAAATTTATTTTTGTTATGTTAGCCACCCAGATGGTGATACTTTGTTAAAGCAGCCCAGGAAACTAATAAGCTTTTCCTTCCCTATGTATTTCTTGGGCTTAAATTCCCAGAGTCCAGATAAAATTGTGATTTCATCACAATAGTAACTGTAATTCATTGTTGTTCCAATATGAATGTTAAATGTAACTTCATTGGTGTAGCAAAAACAATGCCATGTGAAATGCTAGTATTGAATATCATACTCTTAAGAGAAGACTCAGTAATAGCTAGTTCTTGTTGCCACCTAGACATTGATATTTGTGATCTTTCTCTCTCTCTATCTCTCTAGCATTCATACACACACACACATAAAATAATTTTATACAAGAAATAAAACAGTTAATTTGAGAGTTGTGCTGCTTCTTACACAGGGTGAAGTGAACCCTATCCCAGGCACAAAATCACAAAAGCTAACAAACCAAACCAAAGCACAGGTCTGCAAGGCTGCAAGCATTATACAATACTAAGCTGAGTCTTCAAGTAATCTTTTAAGTGGCAACGGTTGCTGGACGCTGTAGTTTCATTGCTTAACATATGTAATTATAAGAAAACAAATTATAGCTATAAAATGAGACAAGCAGAGAGCTTTTATATGGCTAAAAGTGCAGTTCATTCATAAATGAAAGGAAATATTATATTACCCAAGGTGTAGAGGAGAATCATTTATTGCCTCTTCTACTGGAATAATTTATCATCTCTATGTAGTATGTATTGATTCTCTCTATGTAAAACAAAAGAAAATGATGTAAATACTTCTTAATATTTTATTTTCCTCAAAACATAGATCCACAGTCCATTCATAATGGCAGTGGCCTGAAGGCAATTGAAACCTTTTCATTCATCTCAATAATATTTTAAATTTATTATTGGTATTTCCATAGCATCATTCTCCTCTAAGGAGATTAGGCCATTTTTGCAAGATTCAATACCAGATTCGTTTTTGTGATAATGCTGGGTTGTTTAAAAGCAAGGTACTTTTAAAAAAATCAATATAATACCTGGATTCCAAGGCTTGACCACAAAGTAACCACTGTCACATCACTTTCAATCAAGGATTGATGAAAAGTCACCAGTAAGTGAATTGGCAGAATTCACAGCCAGAGACAAAGGAGAGAAGAAACTGTTATGCCTTTCTGAGTCAATATTAAATACCAACACATATAGCTGTGGAGAGAATAAAAAGAAAACTTGTGAAGTGATGAAGGCTATATCCTTGTTTTAGATCCCTTTGGAAGCAACAGCTAGCGTGTCAAATTTTTACCTATGTAACTGATGGAAAAAGATAAAGACATGCCAAGAATGGTGTAAACTAATAAATAAAGTGACAACACTAGAAAATAAAATTATCTATACAACAATCGCGTGTTTATAATTATGTGGTTTATGAGTTTCCTGGGATTGCTGTAACAAATTACTAAAAACTGATAGCTTAAAACAGTAGAAATTTATTTTCTCAAGGTTCTGGTGGCCAGAAGTTCAAAATCAGTGTCACTGGGTCAAAGTCAAGATGTTACAAGGCAACACTTCCTTAAGAGGTTCTGATAGAGAATTTATTCCTTGCCTTTAATATTTTTGTTTTTTAAATAAATAATAGTTATTATTAAAAATAAAAAATAAAAATGTTAATGGTAAGGACCAAATTCTCTATCAGAGCTTCTTAAGAAGGAGGCCGATATAATGGATACATAATAGCTGTACATATTCATGTGGTGCATGTGATATTTTGATACAAGTATACAATGTGTAATGATCAAATCAGAGTGATTAAGATATCCAACACCTCAAGAATTTATTATTATTTCTTTGTGTTAGGAAGAGTATAATTCCATTCTTTTAGTCATCTTGAAATATCAAACACATTATTGTTAACTATAGTTGCCCTGTTGTGCCATCAAACACTTGACCTTGTTCCTTCTAGCTAACTGTATTTCTTCAGCCATTCACCATCCTCTCTCTATGCTCCCCTCCTCACTACCCTTCTCAAACTCCAGTAACCATCAGTCTCCTCTGTATCTCCATGAGTTGAATTTCCTTTTAGCCCCCACATAAGAGTGAGATCATACAATGTTTGTCTCTCTGTTTTTAGCTTATTTCACTTAATACAGTATCGTCAGCTTCAATCTACATGTTTTTTTGTCAATGATAGGATTTCATTTTTTTGCTGAATAATATGCCATTGTGTATATGTACCCTCTTTTCTGTATCTATTCATCCATTTACAGCTCCTAGTGGTTGCCAGAATTATTCACCTCGTGGCCACATCACTCTAATCTCTGCCTCAATCTTAACATTTCATTCTCCTTTGTGTGTCTGTGCTATCTCCCTCTTCCTCCCTCTGTTAAGGATACATGTGATTGCATTTAAGGTCTATCTGGGTAATTGAGGATAATTTTATCTCCAGGTACTTAATATGTGGCCAGGCATGGTGGCTCACACCTGTAATCTCAGCACTTTGGAAGGCCAAAGTGGGTGGATCACTTGAGGCCAAGAGGTCAAGACCAGCCTGGGTAAAATGGAGAAACCTGGTCTCTACCAAAAATACAAAAATTAGCCAGATGCTGTGAGGCGGCTACTCAGGAGGCTGAGGCAGGAGAATCGCTTGAACCTGGGAGGTGGCGGTTGCAGTGAGCTGAGATTGTGCCCCTGCACTCTAGTCTGGACAACAGAGTGAAATTCGGTCTCAAAAAAAAAAAAAAAGAGAAATACTTAATATAAGCATATTCAAAAACTTGTTTAGCCATGTGAGGTAACATTCAGAAATATCAGAGATAAGGATGTGAATATTTTTGGGAAGTCTTTCTTCAGCTTACAAGTGATTTTATACATATATATATAATGACTTGCATGTATATATAGATACACTTGTATATATAATCTTATATATATACACACACATACATATACATATACATACACACATACATGAACACACATATGTGTGTGTGTACATGTTTCTGTTTAAAATATCTGTAGGAAATACTAGAAAATGTTTTTGTTATGTTTGGGTGTGAGGATTTAGGGGAATTTAATTTTTATATTTAACTTTTATTTTGTTATTTTCCCAATTTTACTTAATAGATGCTAATTTTAAAATTAAAATAATAGGCCGAGTGCGGTGGCTCACGCCTGTAATCCCAGCACTTTGGGAGGCCGAGGTGGGCGGATCACAAGGTCAGGAGACCATCCTGGCTAACATGGTGAAACCCTGTCTCTACTAAAAATACAAAAAAAAAAAAAAAAAATTAGCCGGGCGTGGTGGCGGGCGCCTGTGGTCCCAGCTACTCGAGAGGCTGAGGAAGGAGAATGGTGTGAACCCAGGAGGCGGAGCTTGCGGTAAGCCGAGATCGCACCACTGCACTCCAGCCTGGGCGACAGAGCAAGCCTCCGTCTCAAAAAATAAATAAATAAATAAATAAAAATAAAATAATAATAAAGATGTTTACCTTCAAGCTTTTTTTTTTTTATTTTCATGAGTCAAATCTACTGGGTCATGTAACTAGGCATGAAATCCAGATGAAATCATTATTTTTGTTTTTTTCAAGGAATTAAGTCATGATAAAAGTTACAAAAAATTACACACACATTTATTTTTAACATAGAATATAATCTTTAAAATACCTTAATTGATATGCATTACAATATGGAAACACTTACTCTTTTAGATTATAATGAAAATACAGTGTATTTTTGTACTGAATCTTATGTAGGAAAAGACATGTCAGTGTCCCCAGAAAGATGTGAGTACAACGATAAGAATTAGAAAAGAGAATTGAATAAATACTATAAATTAAGAATAAACAGAAATTGTAGTTTTAGAGTGTTTTTTAAATTTTGTTTCCACTATAATATCCAAAGTAAATACCAAAAATTTTATATAAAATTTTTCAAAATAGTTTTCTACTTTCAGGAATATGCTCACCCCAAAGTTTTCTTCAATGACCTTCACCAGAAAAATACTCCAAATTGTACCTAAAACGACATGCAGGTGAAAAATATCTAATTTTAATGCTCCAGTAACTCAAAAAATGGAGAATGGAATTTCACCAAATTTTCAATGAAAATTCTCATTTACGAATCAGGAGAACAATGATGATGAATTTCAAGCCAATGTGTTTTTGAAGGCTAAAAGTGACTGCAAATAGGAATAAGGAAGAAATGTCTCCTAGCTCCAGTAATAGAATGATGCATGACGCTGTAATAAGTGCAATCAATTTTTATTAAACAAAAATGAAAAAAAAAGTCCTTTGTCAATCACATCATAACTGGGATCATCTCCAAAATGTATAAATCTTTTGAATATAACTATTTTTCTCCAATTTTGTTTAATAACATAGCTTCTACTAAGATTTTTATGCATTTTAAGAAAACACTTTTGATAAATAGAACTACCGTGATCTTTTTTATTCTATTAATACATTGATATAAGACTAACAATTTGCCAGTATTTCAACCTTATTTATAATATACATAATTTCTTGTTACTACTTGGAAACACCAGTACAGATAATGCAAGCTATTGGACATTTGAGCTTTAAACATATTTATGTTTTCGTTTTGTAATTTTAGATTTAAATATTCTTAATATGTTTTTATCTGATATCATCATCATCATCACTAACAAAATGCTTAAATCATGTTTCTCATTTTTGCAAAGCACTTTAACAATTATTCTTATCATTCTAAGTATGAGCAGTTAGTGAAACTTGTCTTTCATCATTAAAATCTGTTCTTCACAAAGACTTCTTAATGTAGCACAGCCCAGCTGCTAGCCACTACCAGGACACTACAAAAGTATCCCCCTGAGACAGTGCTCAGGCTTTGCCAAAGTCTCAGGCTTATAGAGAATTTTCTTGCACCCAAAAGACATGTACAAGCATCACTGTCTAACTCAAGCCCTGTTTTGTTTATGTTTTCCTCCTTTGACTGTAACTGCTAAAATAAAGTGCATTACTACGTTTACACTTATTTTTGTAGCAAGCAGGTGGACTCCATTCCCACCTCTCTTCTTTGACCCTCCTCAATTGGCCTCCAAGATGAGAGAGTCACTTTGTGCCATTTATCCTTTGAGGCTGGTGGGAAATTCCCGTCTACATCAGGATTCTTCACCTCCAGCCCCCAGCCACTGTAACACCCCAATACACTCTTCCTGTTTTGCTCTTGCTTTCTTCTTACAGAACCTAAACCTCTCACCTTGGAAAATACTTTTGCAGTTTACTGTATAAGTAACAAACATTTCATGAATAAAAACTTGTTTGTTTTTGGAACCAAAGAAGAACAATAACATCAAGTTCTTGGGACTCCAATTGTAGATGTCAAAGAGAAACCAGTGAAAATGGTTTGGTAATTAAATTTATGTCTAGCAAACAAAAAACTTAATTCAGTTGTCAAGGAAAAATTCCACGAGGCACAGTGAAACAGGCTAGAAAGACTTATGTTTCACACCATTTCAATAGCATTCAAAGCTATTGCAATAGAGAAAAGAGATTGAACTCAACTACTGTAAAACACAAGTTAAGAGGGGTTTTAAATGCTGGGTTGAGCTAATGGAAAAACCCTGGAGGACTTTAGGGAGAAGATTAGTCAATGTGATTATTCCATCTGTGTTTGCTAGTTGGCGTTTATCAAAGATAGGCTTCTACCCCTCCAAAGAAACTTGAATGCAATCAAGAAAGATAGGGGTGGTCTGTTTCTTGATTACATTTCAAAGGATTGTTCCTAACTCCCTGAGAAAGACATTCCTGGGTTGTAGACAATTTCCATGTCTAAGGGGCAGAGAAAGAATTTACGATTGCAAGTTTTCTAAATTAAAGCACTAAGAAAAGGGAGGTAAGGGACCTCTGGTCAGGAAGAAACCAATCTAAAGCTTAGTCAAGCTGCAGGGCACATTTAAGTCCTCTTGCTGACAAGATAAAAATTATATTTGGTTGTCAATAAGAAAGGCCAGTGTCTTCCAAAATATATGTAAAATATTTGATAAGGTTATCATTCTTTTACCAAAGCATTTTTCTGCCTGTGTGTGTTAATTAGGTTAATTAAGGTGTCCACATCATTGTCTTAAGAATGTGTGAATATAAAATTGAGTACATGTTAATAGGCTAAGACAAACGACTGTAATGTTTCTGTCCTTTCTTTTTTTTTTTTTTTTTTTTTCCAGATGGAGTCTTACTCTGTCGCACAGGCTGGAATGCAGTGGCACGATCTCTGCTCACTGCAACCTCTGCCTCCCGGGTTCAAGCGATTCTCCTGCCTCAGTCTCCCGAGTAGCTGGGACTACAGGCATGTGCCACCACACCTGGCTAATTTTTTGTATTTTTAGTACAGAGGGGGTTTCACCGTGTTAGCCAGGATGGTCTTGATCTAATGACCTCGTGATCCGCCTGCCTCGGCCTCCCAAAGTGCTGGGATTACAGCATGAGCCACCACGCCCAGCCCTCTTTCTCATTTTTTAAAGACAGAATACCATCTTATCAAGGTACAAGATAAAATCATCCACTTATGATCAAAATAACACCTTACATTTTAAATCCTGATTGTGTTGTGCACAATGGGAGTTAAATCCTTAAGGGATTTTTTTTTAACATTGAAATAAAAATATATGTGGATGAAATTTGTCTGATAGATTTCTGACAGCCATATCGTGTCCGGAATTGGTGGGTTCTTGGTCTCACTGACTTAAAAAATGAAGCCGCGGACCCTTGCGGTGAGGGTTGCAGCTCTTAAGGTGGCACCTCTGGAGTTTGTTCCTCCTGATGTTCGGATGTGTTGGGAGTTTCTTCCTTCTGGTGGGTTCATGGTCTCCCCGCCTCAGGAGTGAAACTGCAAACCTTCGCAGTGTTAAGGCTCATAAAGGCAGTGTGGACCCAAAGAGTGAGCAGCAGCAGGATTTATTGCAAAAAGCAAAAGAACAAACACTCCACAGTGTGGAAGGGGACCCCAGCGCGTTGCCACTGTGGGCTCTGGCAGCCTGCTTTTATTCTCTTATCCGGCCCCACCCACATCCTGCTGATTCGTAGAGCCCAATGGTCTGTTTTGACAGGGCGCTGACTGGTGCGTTTACAATCCCTGAGCTAGACACAAAGGTTCTCCACGTCCCCACTAGATTAGCTAGATACAGAGTGTGGACACAAAGGTTCTCCAAGTCCCCACCAGAGTAGCTAGATACAGAGCGTCGATTGGTGCATTCACAAACCCTGAACTAGACACAGGGTGCTGATAGGTGTGTTTGCAAACCTTGAGCTAGATACAGAGTGCCGATTGGTGTATTTACAATCCCTGAGCTAGACATAAATGTTCACCTCCCCACCAGACTCAGGAGCCCAGCTGACTTCACCCAGTGGATCTTGCACTGGGGCTGCAGGGGGAGCTGCCTGCCAGTCCCGTGCCATGCGCCCACACTCCTCAGCCCTTGGGTGGTCGATGGGACTGGGTGCCGTGGAGCAGGGGGCGGCACTCCTTGGGGAGGCTCGGGCTGAGGGGAGGCTCAGGCTGCACAGGAGTGCTGGTGGGCCAGCACTGCTGGGGGACCCAGCACACCCTCCACAGCCGCTGGCCCAGGTGCTAAGCCTCTCATCGCCCGGGGCCAGCAGAGCCGGCCAGCAGCTCCGAGTGCGGGGTCCCCGGAGCCCATGCCCACCCGGAACTCGCGTTGGCCCGCAAGCACCGCGCGCAGCCCCAGTTCCCGCCCGCCCGTGCCTCTCCCTCCACAACTCCCCGCAAGCTGAGGGAGCCAGCTCCGGCCTTGGCCAGCCCAGAAAGGGGCTCCCACAGTGCAGCGGCAGACTGAAGTTCTCCTCAAGTGCCGCCAAAGTGGGAGCCCAGGCAGAGGAGGGGCCGAGAGCGAGTGAGGGCTGTGAGGACTGCCAGCACGCTGTCACCTCTCAATATCATAAAGAAAGGTGCTTACCCAATATGCATGTGTGATATGTGTGTATGTGTTTTAAATAACAGTCATCAATTTCATTACTTTTGATAAAAAATTTCGGGTCTTAAAACCAGGTGGACCTGGGTTTGAATCACAAATCTGCCACCCAATAGCTATGATATAATGCACAGTGTATCTAATCTCTCTGAGACTGATTTTTCTTATCATAAAATGGTGTTCATTACTCTACCACGTTTTATTTTCTAAAGATAGCTACAACAATGTCTCCTATCCTGCATGCTCTTTGCAATGTTATCCTGCCACATTCTTGTTGAGGAGCAGAATCTTCACCCCCTTGATTATGGATAGGGCTTTTAACAGCTCTGTGTGGCGCCTCATTTGGCCTGATAGTTGTTACTTCTTGACTTTTGGGAGCTAACAACTGTAAGAATTGTGACTACCTTGGGCCTCTCTTGCTTGGGAAACAAGCAATTCATATGGATAATGTGATATTTTGCATGGAGAGGGAGAGTGGCTAAGGAAGGTCCATGTGTCAGATAGGAGAATGAAGACATCTAGAATTCCCCACACAACTGTGAAGGTGGAATTGAACCTTCAGATGATCTCGGCCACAGTTGCTTTCCCATTACAGCCAAATGCAAGATCTAAGGAAAGAACTATCCGTCTGAGTCTAGTCAAACCACAAAAGCATGAAAAGTAATACTATTGGCCGGGCGCGTTGGCTCAGGCCTGTAATCCCAGCACCTTGGGAGGCCGAGGTGGGTGGATCACGAGGTCAGGAGATCAAGACCATCCTGGCTAACACAGTGAAACACCGTCTCTACTAAAAATACAAAAAAGATATCGTGGCGTGGTGGCGGGCGCCTGTAGTCCCAGCTACTCGGGAGGCTGAGGCAGGAGAATGGTGTGAACCCAGGAGGCGGAGCTTGCAGTGAGCCGAGATCGTGCCACTGCACTCCAGCCTGGGCTACAAGGTGAGACTCCAACTCAAAAAAAAAAAAAAAGAAAAGAAAAGTAATACTATTTTTTTGTTGTTTTTAGCCACCAAGTTTTGGGTAGTTTGTTATGCAGCAAGAGATTGTTGGAACGATGTCAAATTTTTGTATTGTGTTCATTAGTTCCTAAATATACTTTATAATTTGGAGATAACCATCTTTACTGAGTTGAAAGTAATACTGGGACAGGCGCAGTGGCTAACACCTGTAATCCCAACACTTTGGGAAGCTGAGGCAGGCGGATCATTTGAGGTCAGGAGCTCAAGACCAGCCCGGCCAACGTAGTGAAACCCCATCCCTACTAAAAAAAAAATACAAAAATTAGCCAGACACGGTGGCGCACTCCTGTAATCCTAGCTACTCTGAAATTTGAGGCAGGAGAATTGTGTGAACCAGGGAGGCGGAGGTTTCAGTGAGCTGAGATTGTGCCACTGCACTCCAGCCTGGAAAATAGAGTGAGACCCCGTCTCAAAAAAAGAAGCAATGCTAATTTTTTTCCTCAAAACTTTAATTTTCTTGTCATTACCTGTATTTTTTACCCTTTATGGCTTTATAGTATCCTTTGCTACAAGTGATCAAAATTAATCAAAATAAGCATATTGAAGCCTTCTAAACAATGAACAATAATAAAATAATAAAGTTAAGTTAAATAGAATATATAAAAGAAATTGAAGCTTAATATTATTTGGGAGTAGTTAGAAAAGGCATGACAAGTTTTTAAAGCAGCACATTTATTATGGCTAAGCTACATTAGTTGGAAATGGATTCTCTCTCTAAATTCTCTGCAAAATACAGGAAACACAAAAAACAAGATCTTCTCAACCCACATAACCAACAGTGAATCATGATGACATCTGGCATACATAATACTACCTTAGTAACTGTTGGGGGAGTTTGTAAACCAGCTGGAACGCTTTGTAACTACTTCCATTAGGAGGTGTACTTTCCCCCCTATTTCTGTGTTTGACTAGCCTATGCCTTGCTTTGACAAGCTCTGAGCTTGCACAAAGACAGTCTGACACTTTTAAGCCTTATAGCTTTTGCTCTTGATAAGAGTTCATGAGCACCCAGATTCCAAAATACCTGTGTTGAATAGACTGTTGGTTGATGTCTGAGAGACCTCGTGGAGCAGAGATATCATCTCAAATGAGTTCATCCTTGACCAATCAGCTGACACCTGACGTGGCAGTTGATTCCAGCCAGACATAAGTGAGCCTTTCAAAGAAACTAGCAAAAGAACCACCCAGTTGAGGCCAGCCCCACTTGCTAACCCACAGTACTGTAACCTCAATAAAGGGAGTTTTTTTTAAGACACTAAGTATTAGAGTGGTTTGTTTTGGCACAAAAGCTGACACGATAAGTTACTAATTAATTTAAAAATTTAAAAATATAGTGATAAGACTATATGACACTTTTATTTAGTAAATATTAATCTCCTCTGAGTAAAAATCAATTATTATTTGTATTTTTCTAATTGGGATGTTACGATATAGGTGGAATAGGTAAATTAAAGATTAGAAAACTTATCAGGAATTTAGACACTTAAAAATAATTACATTGAACCTAATTTTTTATAATTAATTATAATTTTTTAAAATCACATTGATGTTGAATTACTTTCAACATCATACTGTTGAAAGCAAATTCCCTTGCTTTACAGCACAGGGAACTAAGAGTTGAAAAAATTCTTGCTGAAAGCTAGGATCAAAAACTTACACCTTCCATCTATCAGGTCCATGATCATTCCATTTCATTACATTACATTCTTAAACTGTTGTTTCTGTTTTCCATATTTTCTATGTTATTATATTGAACTCTTTGACAATATTTACTATCCAACAAACATCTTTAAATATTTTGAAATAGTGTGTATCTTGTCGAACACAAAGATTTCAGATAAAATATAATCACAACTGTATCAAACCTCCAGAAATTAAATCAAAATTTGAATAAAGATTAAATAATAGAATGTAAATGCTTAGTGTTGAGAGTTATCCAAATGAGTATTTTTAAAGGAGGGCATTTTGATCCTTGTATCAACAGCAACAACTTTTCTGTTTGGAAAAATATAAATAATTATTATTTTTTTCAATGAATAATACACTTTTCACTAGAGAGACATAGTAGTGCATTAAAATTAAAATAAAATGAGGTATCCAATATACTTTGCTTGTATTGTGATTTACAAGTTAAGAGAGATTCATTCATTTGAAAAGAAATAAGGTATAGGTATAACTCTCAGGGGATAGAAACATTATATGTGATGATATCTAAACAATCCTAGTATTTTCTGAGATGGAGCCATAAAATGGTCAATTTCTCTTCTAAATTATGGTGTCCACAAAAACATTTTTACTTTTATGTTTTAGTGTTTTGTGTTTATCTATGTCATTTTTTGTTTTGGAAAAATGACAAAATAAAAACAAAAGCCCCATGTTCTTTAAGTGACCCATCACAGTTCTTTAAGAACATGTTTTTCTTCATTGTGAGAAGCTATTTAGAACATTTTTGCTTTCATTTTATATGTCAAATCTTGGCATAAAGAATGTGGCAAATCTTCCTGATAGTCATAGTGGAATAATAAACTCTGTGTTCAGATCTTCTTACAAAACTTGACACTTTCTCTCTACTTAACAATGATGGTCAGCTTCTCCATCCTATAGCAAAATGATCACCTGCACTGTCACTCATATTGTACAATCATAGAGAGTGACTGCAAACCAGTGTGGTTGACTAAGTTATTCTTTCATCCATTCAAGTGGAGTGCTGGTTGAAGGCAAAAGTGGAGGTATTTATGTAAACTAAATAATATATTAGTCAAAATTTTTATTTAAACCTTTGTTTTCTGTGTTCAGAAATGGCCATTTATTTTTGGTAATCGTATATTTGCATATGCATACAGTGACAAGGTAAAGGTGAGAACGGGGAAATGATGTCTTTGTTTATGTTTTCCTAAATGTATAATTTATTTGTAACTTAAGAATTTATTAAATGTGTCAGATAACCTTATTACATAATAATTATGAGAAACAAATTAAGTGTAAGAGGCATGTCCAGGGGAAAAATACAAAAGAGAAATATCATGTTTCAGGAAAATAAAATGTGGGAGTGGAAGGAGAGTGTCCTCCTTCACTTTCTTATTTGGGCTTACTAATGCTACAGGATGGTATTTAAGCACTGGTTTTCTTCCCTGATAAACACCTAGCAGTGAGAACCAAGTGACATGCAGCAAGGTCAGTGTACAGAAGCTTCTACATATCAGAGAAGATGCTGACAATGATTCTAGCTCCTTTCTGCATGGGCTAAAGTAGAAATTAAGGAAAGAGTTCATATAAGAAGGCTATTAGCAAAAGAAAGGAAGGATGTTCTGAACATTCATTTTTAGGTATTAAAAAATAAATGAACTCAAGAAGGCTACATGTCTCTTATGAGTCTGAAAGAATCAGATGCATTGCCTTACTTGACTTTCTTGAATATGTGGATTAAAATTTCTGATGTATTTTAATACTTCTTACATAATAGTATTATCCATTGTAATACTATGAATATATTTTATCCTGTTTTTTTTTCCTCCAGTTGCACATATAATTGTCATAGAAGGTACCGATAAAAGCAATGAGTTTCCTTTATCAGACAGACTAGGTCAAGACACTGGTCAGGAGTATGCACTCTAACATTTTGGATCTAGATTAGGTAGAATGGTTATTCCAAAGTAGCTGAAAACAAAAAGAATTAGAGGATGGTTAAAGTAGGGGAGAGAGTGCATAATCAGACATTAAAAAGGTTACCCTAATGATCAATTCTGAGTCGGGGAGCAGAGCCAGGTACCAAAGACAAGGTCGAACAGTTGAATGACAGAATAATACTTGAATCAGGCAAAGAGAAGGAATCAGGCAAATTTAGGTGGTAGGTTTAGGACAATTGAGGATTTAAATCCTGAATTTGTCCTCTTTTTTCCTTTGTTAATAGATATTGATTCATCTATGTTCATAGCTATTTATAAAATATTAGGTAGATACTCTGCAGTATGTTTTTTACATACATCACCGGATTTAATCATTAAAAAGTGTGATGCAATTATTATTTAGTCCATTTTATAGCTGATGAAAACCAGGGTTAGGATGTTTCAAAGTCTCACATTGAATATGTGTTGAAGTTGACATTCAAAACTAGTCTAAACTCATAGTTTATGCTTTTACTCATGATACCGTATTTTCTCAGTTCATGGAAAAAAACTGCACCAAGAATTTTGAATAGTTATTAAATACAAAGCAGATTCTATATCTGCTACATCAGAATCTCTGGAAATGAAATTCAGGCATCTGCCTTTTAAAAGACTCCTCAAGTGGTTCTAAATAAGATGACATTCTAGTAACACGAAACTATGCTATAGTGCTTCCAACAAAAAATAAACACACCAAAAGAAAGCACAACAAAATATATTTTATTTAATTCAGTTTAAACACTTGAAAATATCATAAGACAATGGAAGAAATGAGCTGAAAGCCTATAGCCATATTTAGAACAGGTGTATTTGATTCCATCCTTCCTCTCTGCTCTTTCAAGTATTACTCTGTCAATCAACTGCTCGACCTTGTCTTTGGTACCTGGCTCTGCTCCGTGACTCAGAATTGATCATTAGGGTAACCTTTTTAATGCTTGATTATGTACTCGCTCCCCTACTTTAACCATCCTCTAATTCTTTTTGTTTTCAGCCACTTCGAAATAACCATTCTACCTAACCTAGATACAAGATGTTAGAGTGCATACTCCTGACTAGTGTCCTGACCTAGCCTGTCTGATAAAGAAAACTCATTGCCTTTATTGGTACCTTCTATGACAATTATATGTGCAATTTGAGAAAAAACAGGATAAAATATATTCATAGTATTAAAATGGATAATACTATTATGTAAGAAGTATTAAAATACATCAGAAATTTTAATCCACATATTCAAGAAAGTTAAGTAAGGCAATGCTATCTTATTATTTCAGACTCGTAAGAGACATGTAGCCTCCTTGAGTTCATTTATTTTTTAATACCTAAAATATAATATTCAAAACATTCCTCCTTTCTTTTGCTAACCTATCCATCCACCCCTAGTATTTCTTATAAACTGGATTTTATATATAAAATCTTAATGAAATTCATGTTCCACATATTTGCAAACATTGAACATTTAACACTATAGAAAAAAATTAAAAATCTTTCAAAAGTGGTTCTCAGCAGTTGGCATTATGATATATCCACTAACGATTATATTATAAATCCCAGTGCCACTGTCTACCTTCAACTATCTCCTCATTCCTATTCCAAAAACTTATTGTTTGCTAATGCAAAACAATTATGATGGAATCTGATAACTCCGATAAGAGATTACAAATTTTCATTTTGTAGAATATTCATCTCACGTTTTCTCTTGAGTTTCTTAGCATTTAAAGTGAAAATGAAAACAAAAGTGGTCTTAGAATTCCCCGGTAGGGGATTGAATGGACATAAATATAATTCCCAGAAAAAAATAGTGTGAATAATTAAATGGATGTGGAAAATCTTTTATGTGGATATATAGAGTAACTCACTGCTTTTGTGTCTGTATAGAGTAGCTTGTTTCCATGTAATCATTGGGATATAAAAAATAATTTTTAAAATTGGCTTTTGTGGGGAATAAAGATGAGTTGATTAGTGAGTACAAACATACAATTAGATAGAAGAAACAAGACCCAATATTCCACAGCAGAGTAGGACGACCGGAGTTAGCTACAATGTATTGTACATTTCAAAATAGGTAGAGGAGAGGACTTGAAATGTTAGGAAAACAGAGAAATGATAAATGGTCAAGGTGATGGATACTTCAAATCCCCTGACTTGATCATTACACATTCTATGCATGAAACAAATACTCATGCGTACCCCCATCGATCAGTAAAATATTTTATATTAATAAAAAATTTGCTTTTACCCCTATAATTTTCCATAGGTTGGATCTGTAATTTGTGGGATCAATTTCATTAAAAATTTGGTCAAATTAGTGAGAAAAATGACATTAAAAGGAAAACAAAATGAGTAGTTTGAAATCCTATATAAGAGCTGCTTTCAAATTGGTATAAAATATGATAGGTGGACTTCAAGTGTCCTTCTGATAACTACCAACTGAGTAAATAAAGATATATCTCTTCCATTCTTACCAGCAATTTACATGTAATTCCAAAGCTATTCATTCCTCATATTACACATATCTACTTACTGGTGAACTAACAAGTTAATGGTTGCTAAAATACGACACTCTTAAGCTGAAGTTTCAATTTATGCCTATGATTATTTTTGGCTTTTAGATAATGTACAACCCACTATAAAACAGAATTACATTAACTTATAACTACCTTAAGTTTAATAAAATTAGCAAGCTATTTTAATATTTATGTTGCAGATTTTGTATAAATATATGAGCTTATGTTCACTAATAGTATAATTTTAAAATACTTCATATATGTTTGTCTCTAATTGTCATCTGGATTATTTTTCTACTGAGAAGGAATAAATTAGATATATAGGTGATCTGACTTGACAAAAATTAGAAAAAAAATGAGTTTAAGGTTTGAATTTCTCATTTTTCAACAAATTATTTTGAAGTATAGAAGCTTTATTTTAAAAATACAAACTGCTTATATTACTAACAATATATACCATGTTTTGTGAGACTGTAATTAGAATATCTTGGAGGTTTGTTTTTAGACCTGGCTGCACCTGTATATGACAGTCTAAGCCTTTGGGCAAATAGCTTTTAATTTTCTCTCTTCACAAGTGAATTTCCTCATCTGCAACCTGAGGGGAATGAACTAAATGATCTTTGTTTGCTTCAGATCGATTCTTCTAAGACACTACAAATTCACAGATGTGTCAGGTGGGGGAAAAAAAATCAAGCTAACTGACTAGCTCAGTCTGACGAGAAACTAAGTAACATCAGTACTGTGGTGTTTTCACAGTTGTGACATTGCTGCCACAAGCTGCTTTTCCTTTTAACAAAAATGTTTGATTCTTAAGTTACTATGAAGGCAGTAATGTTGTATCTAATTGTAGAAGACACCCCAATTATAAATCCTGATAGCTGGTGAACAAATATATAGCTGAAATGTGAAAGAAAGTACAAATGGAAATATCAAACAAAAGTAACAAACAAAAATTATTTATTACTAGCAATTCAGCATGGCACTTTTCAATTCTCATCCAAATATTGTGAACATTAACAGACATTTTGGCAACAATTTAAAGCCATCCTCCTCAAACTGGAGCAACATCACTAGAAGGTACATTCAATTGCAATAGGGAGTATTATCTAGGAACATTGAATTCTCAATGATTCTTGAGTGGAAGTTTGGACATCTGTACATTCTGTGCTCCTAAAATTAAATCAGAGGTTGAAATTAGCCAAATTTCTCTCTTTCTCTCTTTCTTTTTGTTATTGATGGTATTGCAGGGGCATTGTGTGTAAATACAGCTGGTAATGGCAAATGTTGGTACTTTTATGTTTTGGAGGTGGAGCTAATGTCCCATAGAGAAGATTATGCTTCTCAACAAATGTCAGAGGCTCATCTAGCTTGCTACCTTACTAACCTATGAGTTATTAATTTTTCATTACACAAAATTTACTACTCCTCAGAAACCAGTTTATTTCCATGCTGAACTAATGCTTGATTGAGCTTTGGTTTACAAAGATGTGACTAGCTATAGTCCTGTCTCTCAACACTGTGAATTCCTTGATAACACAAAAATAATGTAAATTCTGGAGAACACTTTATGTTTTACTTTTATAACATTCTTTAACCATTTATAGCGTACTTGTGTTTAGATTATAATTTCAATAAGAAACATTGAAAGATGAAGGAAAAACAAAAAAGGTAGTATAAATTTGAAGTCTATATATATACTTATATATAGTTATATAGTTTTTTATATAGTTACAGTTTTATATATATGTAGTATAGTATATATAGTATAGTATTAGTGTGATTATACATATTATATATATAACCATATATGTGGTAAAAATTTAAAACAACCTGAAACCATCAGAATTTTGACAGGCATGGAATTGTCCCTGAGGCTTCAGACAGTGAAACTGACAATGACGATGATTATATCCACCAGAGGCAAATGTGTAGTAAGCCTCAGCAGTCACTCCAAAAACATAGAATATACTTGTTTACTTATTTTAGATATGGATTTCATATTTAAGAAGATTCACATGAATCTAAACTTTGCCAAATCTTGTGAATTCTCTGTAGTGATATTTTAAAATCACACATAGACATTTTGGATATAAAAAATATTAGAACTGTTTGCAACTAAAATGAGAATTCTTGGTAGGGACAAGACAAAGGATTCAAAATGAATATACAGATTCTTCTCCACTTACAATGAGGTTATGTCCTGATAAACCCATAATAATTAGAAAATATTGTAAGTTGAATGTGTGTTTTCAACTTACAATTTTCAACGTACAATGTAAATTGAAACCCCATCTTAAGTTGTAACTCCATCTTAAGTTGAGGAGGTTACTGAATGCATATCACTTTCCCATCACCTTAAAGTAAAAAGGTACTAAGTCAAATCTTCCTAATTCAGGGACCATCTTTATAAACATAGATGCCTTCTTGTAGGTCATTTTCTAAATTATATTTTAAGACAAAATTTAGGTCATAGGAGAAAATTTGGTGAAACTTGCTTTGTTTTGACTCAAAATGAGAGATAGTAGTTTTCATAAAGTGTGGTCATCACACATCACCAGAATTCCTATATTTTAACATGCGTGAAAGCCATTTGAGAAAATTGATGCACAGATTGAATGTAACCTTTTTATCTTATATATTGGATGAAATGGAGACATTCATTTTTATTGGTCAGAATGAAGAGATCTGTGAAGATATAAAAATATACTTACGTGTTAGCATCTCACAATTAATAACTAGTGAAGAATTTTTCAAATAAATATGTGTATTTTTATATATGTAAAAATATTACATCACTTTTTAGAAAAATACATATAGACCTATACTATGATGCTAAATAGCAGTGAAGTGGTGATCCAAATCAGTGGAATTACACAGTCACTCCATTATTTATATATACATTATCTAAAATATTCTGGCCAGGCGTGGTGGCTCATGCCTGTAATCCAGCACTTTGGGAGGCCGAGGGGGGGCTCAGATCACGAGGTCAGTAGTTCAAGACCAGCCTGACCAACATGGTGAAACCTCGTCTCTACTAAAACTACAGTCTCCACTAAAAATTAGCTGGGCATGGTGGCACACGCCTGTAATCCCAGCTACTCAGGAGGCTGAGGCAGGAGAATCGCTTGAACCCAGGAGGCGGAGGTTGCAGTGAGCCGAGATCGTGCCACTGCACTCCAGCCTGGGTGACAGAGTGAGATTCTATTCTGTCTCAAATAATAATAATAATAAGTTAAATGTAAGATTTCAGTGTGCTTCATTTTTAAAAAAGAACACATATGGGGCCGGGCGCAGTGGCTCACACCTATAATCCCAGGACTTTGGGAGGTGGAGGCGGGCGGATCACGAGGTCAAGAGATCAAGACCATCCTGGCTAACATGGTGAAATCCCATCTCCACTAAAAATACAAAAAATTAGCTGGGCGTGGTGGCAGGCGCCTGTAATCCCAGCTACTTGGGAGGCTGAGGCAGGAGAATGGCGTGAACCCGGGAGGCGGAGCTTGCAGTGAGCGGAGATCGTGCCACTGCACTCCAGCGTGGGCGACAGAGCGAGACTCCGTCTCAAAAAAAAATATATATATATGGTATCATGAAAGCCTTATGAGGGAGTGCCCTGACAGTGGTTATAGATAACATTTATTGAGCACCTACTATGTGCCAAACACTTTTCTAAGCACTTTACATGTATCTCATGGAAGCGTTACAAGAACTCATGGGAACGGTATTACTTTCATTATTTCCATTTTACAAATAAGAAAATTGTAATACCGAATGGTTATATAGCTTGCTCAAGCTCTCACAGTCAGAAGCAGAGACAAGATCACAGCTCAAAGCCTACGCTCTGAAACACTTTTCTGTTATCATTGTGATAGACAAGAGAAGATGTCTTATTCGATATCCAGGACTCATTCAGAGAAAAAAATCCGGGCCATAGACATAAATTTAAAAGTCATCTATATGGCTGGGCCCCGTGGCTCATGCCTGTAATCCCAGCACTTTGGGAGGCCGAGGCAGGCGGATCACGAGGTCAGGAGATCCAGACCATCCTGGCTAACAAGGTGAAACCCCGTCTCTACTAAAAATACAAAAAGAAAATTAGCCGGGCGTGATGACGGGCACCTGTAGTCCCAGCTACTCGGGAGGCTGAGGCAGGAGAATGGCACGAAGCCGGGAGGCGGAGCTTGCAGTGAGCCCAGAGACAGAGCAAGACTCCATCTCAAAAAACACAAAAAAACAAAAAAAAAAAAAAACAAAAGACATGTTCTAGATGACAGGGAGAAATGTAATATATAAGTGTGAAAATCTATAATAACGAGAATAAGAGAATCTGAAAGATTATTATTACAAAATAATTGAACGATGAACGTTAATTATTGTTACTAATCACTATCTCAATGTACCTTAAAGCAAAATATTTTATTAAGAGATCAATATGAGCTGGGCTTGTAATAGGTCCTAGAAACAGGAATATAAGACATAATCATTGCCAAAAATAGACTTCTATGTAATAGGAGAAAAATATATTTAAATTAATATACTTACATATTACAAATTTAAAATACATTTAAGTTTTAAATACAGTATAATCACTCCAATGATAAAAACAGTTACAATCCCAGGTAAATGAATTTGGATGTTGCAAACTTTTTCTGCAGAAATGACTCAATGAAAGTTTGAGTCATTAAACTTAAAGAGTTGGTTTTGAGGGCTGTGGTATTTGACACAGAAAAGCACATGTTTTGCTTAAATGAATTGACAGATACATGAAATACCCCAGTATTTCTAGGTAATGCAAATTATTTTCCTTGTGATCTAGTGGACTCAGGAGTAGAAGCTACCGTCTTGAGAATTGAATTTGAAAACTAGAAAGGTGGACTAAGTATCTCTGCCACACTTAGGCAGCTGAATCCTATATGTGATGGAAAACTGTTGACTAGTTTCAAAGAATGACATAATTAGATTTGCATTTTGGAAAGATTATTCTATTGGCTTTTAAAAGAGCACACGGTAGGAGCTTGTTCCAATAACCTAGTTAATTTATCTTATATGCTATCTTATTTAGCTCCAGAGAGTTGTAATGGGCTTGTTTACAGCCATCACCATGGCAATAGGCTAGTATCATAAAAGCATGAATCTAGGGACTCTCACATGTACTTACACTTTACTCCCATGGCTCATAGAAAAAGATACATTCCCTAACTCTTTTGCATTTTACATGCATCTTGTAGCCTACTTAAAATATAAATCATATGACATCAGCTTGGTCCATGTTAATTATAAAAGATGCTTTAAAATATTATGTAATATTGGGGTTTGATATGATGAATGCAACATATATCATAATCATTTCTTCTATTTTACGGTCTTGCATTGGGAGTTAAAGGGATCAATATATTACACCATCCTGCCCTTGGCAGTCTTTTCCACCCCATCTGCCAATCCAAATGTTAAACTGTAGAAACAACCAAAAATGGCACTCTTGGTAGCCAGACTATAGCAGTGGTTTTTCAATAAAACAAAAACTATTACTATGTAATGTAGAAGACATCTGGTATTCAGTCTGGAAAAGCAGTGCTCCAAAAAAACGAGGATAAGTGAGAACAAAAAAAAGGGGGAGAAAGTTGAATAAACACAATAAAATATATTGATATTAGAATATTACATTTCAGTGTTTTAACAAGCAAAAATCACTGCCAATAATTTGAACTCTCAATCAAGAAAACAGCAGGTCAAGGCTTCAGGGAGGAATGGACCAAACAAACAAACCACTTTCAGGTCCTTGGATCTCTGAACTGTAAAGCTGTACCAAATGCTGAGGCACTCTTAAGCGGACCAAAGAGATGGGCAGTGGTAAAGGCAAAGAGGAAAAGCTGCTCTGGTGTTGGTCTTGGTCATAGCTACTCTCTGTCTCTTCCCTTCAAATGAACTGTTCTACATATTCCCAGAAGATGCTGGTCCAACTCTGCCTGAGAATCTCAGAATTTAGGGTTTGAATGGGAGGTGGGAGCAGTCAGCTGATGGCTCATTTCAAAGCACGAGTAAGGTAAGAGCCATGTAGTAAAAAACAGTCAAATTACCAACTTTCAAAATCCTGTGGGTTATGAAAGACAATGAAAGAAATCATTGACTAGACGACGTGCATTGTAGCTATAAATCTGCTCTGCTACTTTCTAAGTTCGTATGTATGAGAGAGAGAAATACTTGTACATCATTATAGTTTTTGTAGCATGAAAATATATTTGCAAAACTTAATTATGTCAGTTGATTGTAGATCAGTAATTTATCCATGTATATTTTAGAAATTAAGGAGATGCAAGGACATAACAATTGTAATTAAATGATGGAAATTTTATGTTTAATATAATGTTGAAGGCTAATTTTAAAAAATTAATATATTTGTTAATTATCACAGTGATTTCTTATCCTGCAAAGACAGTTTTCTGATATAAAATAAAGGGCCCACAAGTAAGCACAGAAGGCCACTAAAAGGCATAATTTCGAATATCTTTTAATGCCTTACTGAACTTTGAATTTTCCTCATATTAGTTTCACAATCCATGGTATATTAGAAATATCAATTAATTCATTTATATGCTTCTTCATTCATTTAGTCACTCAACAAATTCTTGAGTGCTCACCATGTGCTGTGGCTGATACAAAAATAAATAATACTGTTTATTTGATGAAAGGTACCTTGACAACTCCAACAAAGAAAGCTGACAGCAAAATAGCAGACACAGAGGTCGTTTGGGAGTGACATCAGCAGGATGGCAAAATAGGAGGTTCCTCTCTCATATCTTCCCACAGCAGCAATAATTTGGCAGCTATTCATGAAGAAAAATGACTTGGAGGTAGCTTTGGGATCTAGGTAGGAGGTAGTCTAACAAAAATCTGGAGTAGCCAACGGAAGAGGAACATTTTGAGAAGGTAGGCCCATGCTCGGTGTGGGACTATGGTCAGTGAGCCCATAGTCTCAGCTGCAGACCTGAAACTGACCCCAGCCCTCTAAGACTAAAATTATGTTTCAGCTACATCTATGAGTCAAATTCAAAATGCTTATTTAACTTGCAGTTGGGCTTCTCCTTTGACATGTGGTGTCTAGGTCTCTCCCTCTCCCCTTGTCTCTTTCTCTCTTTATCTCCCTCTCTCTCTCTCACGTTTTTAATATTCAAATAATTATAGATAATAAAAAATTGGCAAAAATAAAAAACAAACCCTTTATCTAGATTGCACTAATGTAAATACCTTATATAACTATAGTGCAGTTGTGAAAACTAGAAAATTGGTTTTGGTGCAATACCATTCATTACAAAAATACAGACCTTATTCAAAATTTACTGTTTTTTCCCTCTATTAGCACTTTGTTCTGCTCCAGGATCATAAATTGCATTTAATTTTTATGTCTCAGTTTACTTCAATCTTAGACAATTTCTTAACTTTTCTTGTCTTTCACAACTTGATGTTTTTGAAGAGTAGTGGTCAATTATTTTGTAGAATGTTCCTGAATTTGTATTTGTCTGATGTTTTTTCATGATTAGACTGATGTCACAAATTTAGACAAAAATATCAAAGACATGTTACATATATCCGTACATCACTTGAGAGAGCACGTGATGGCATTTCTACCAATAATATTAAACTTTATCATTTGGTTAATGTTTTGTTTTCTGGGGTCCTCCATTGTTAAGCTTGTATTGTGTTCTTTATTATCAATAAATGTCCAGGAAAAATACTTTGAGACTATGCAAACGTCTTGTTTCTCTTCACATTTTCATCTAGCTTTTTCTGGTTTATACATTTCTTCATTAGTTTGGCAATAGTCTTCTCCATCTGTTGGCTTAGATTGGCATATCACACAGTGGTTAGGATCTTGGTCCCTATAGCTGGACTGTTAGACATATATTATCTTAGCTGTAACAATAACACTATGCCTCAGGTGATATTATCATCAATACTTTACAAATAACAAGCTGATCATAGAATAACTTGCCCAACTCATTCAGTAGGTAGTGGGGTCATATTTCAAACCCAGGTTGTCTGACTCCAGGGATCATTTGATAAACTACTATTGGTGAACCAACTCCCAAATGAAAGTATTATTATGAACTATACTCAGTGCCAGGAGGAAATAAAATAGGAAAATATGAAAACATATACCAGTGTGATGTGATCCACTGGGAGCAGGAAGAAATTTTTCCCTAGTTAGATAGCATCCTAGTAAATACCAAGGACTCAAAATCTCTACTCTCTCCTTTACAACGAGCATAACATTGGACAATTTACTTACGTTCTCTGCCTTAGTGTCCTCATCATTAAAATGGAAGTAGTAATTATTTCTATAACATACAGTTTTATAAATATTAAGTAAGGTAATACAGGAAAAGAACTGAAAATATTTAGCATATAGTAAGCATTAAATAAATATTTAAAAAATGGAAATGTTGAAGGATCCAAAGGATGAAAAAAAATTTAAAAAATGGAAAATTCCAGTAAAGGGCCTAGGACTCATGAATGGTAGGAATTATGTTATATTTTAAAGAGCAAAAGAAACCTGGGGTGGTAGGGGTCCTGGAACAGAGCAGCGAGTACAGTGTTGGCAGATGAAGATGTAGATAGAGTTAGGAAAGACTTTTCACAATGCTAAGGATTTGAGACCTTATTCTCATTTCCATCCTAATGATGGCCTTTTAACGATTTTATTTTTATTTTTGTTTTTTATTTCTTTGAGACAGAGTCTCACTCTGTCACCCAGGCTAGAATGCAGTGGCACCATCTCAGCTCACTGCAACTTCTGCCTCCCAGATTCAAGTGATTCTCCTGCCTCACCCTCCCAAGTAGCTGGGATTACAGGCACGCACCACCACACCCAGCTAATTTTTGTATTTTTAGTAGAGATGGGGTTTCACTATGTTGGTCAGGCTGGTCTCGAACTCCTGACCTCGGCCTCCCAACCTTGGCCTCCCAAAGTGCTGGGATTATAGGCTTGAGCCACCATGCCCAGCCTTTTAACAATTTTAAAACCAAGCAGTTATGTGATCTGATATCTAGCTTAAAAATTTTCTGGCTATGGTCTAAAACCGACAATGAGGTCTTATCTTAGTATAATTCTGTTTCTGAATATAGAATTTTTAAAATTTTAATCCGATTTTTCCAATTTTACCTATGCAATAAATCCATGGCATAGGTTATTTTATTATATGTATTCTATATCAAGAAAACAAGGTGCAAAAGATTAAGTATAACAATTCTAAACAATCTCTACATGTACAAACGAGTTGTAAAACACAATTAAATACATGTTTATCTAACTTCGTGGACCTAAACTATAAGGTACTTTTCTATAGCTCATATAATCTAATTTGTGGACATGAACCTAATTTATATAAATTATTATAACCTAGTCTAACTACTTCAATCTTATTTATTATACTAATATTTAGGCAACTGTAAAGATGATCACCATTAAAATATTATGCCAATATTCACCATTACACAGACACCTTAATTTTTTTGTTTTCAATCCTAATGATTTGGAGATTGACTTTTCTTTAACTCCATATTCATCATATTCTTAGCTTTCTGGTCTGCATTTTTTTCAGATCTCTTTTTCTAGAACCATGTTCTAGAGTATAATTAATCATGATTACTGATCTTTAGCCCCTGCAGTTCATAATTTTGTTGCTAAAAATGCTTTTATTTTACTTGGAACAGTCAGATTTTTAGAGTGTTTCTTGGCTTATTGGACAGGGCTGTAAAGTGGCTTGAACAAGAGGGCAACATGGAGAGACAGCGGGTTTGGCATTAGAAGTGGCAGCATCAGGAGTCTCAGCAGGGGTGACAATATTTCGAGACACTTCACAAGCATCACATCATGAATCCAACCTGTTCAGGTCTCTCTTGCCTAGGGAGGCTGCTTCTTGATTAATATAAAGTCAAGTGTTTTGTCCTTGTAAGGTTTTACTTAGCAAGCCTGAGGTTAAAGATAAGTTTTCTTTTTATCTGTGAACATGTTATCTTCCATTTATAGATGGAAGGTTTTTTTTCCCCCACGAGTGAAGTTTAGTATGCCAAATCTCTTGATTTAAAAGTTGTTGAAAAGGGAGTATTCCCCACAAGTGAAGTTTAGTGTGCTAAATCTCTTTTGATGTAAAAGTTGTTGATGAAAAGGGAGGAGATAAACAAGAAAAACAAAATGAAATTTTAAATTAAGGTAGAAATTTACAGTGAGTGTACATGCCTGGGGATAAAATTGATTTCCTCTTTTATAGTGGGTTTTTAGCATGGAGTAAATTTTATTTTTTCACTGAAGCCGTGTAGAACATGTGCCAATTCTGGGCCCTTTTAAGGTGCCAGCATAAACAAAATAGAAAAGCCTTTGTTTAATACGCATGAGCAGTTTTGAAGTTGGATATGTTGGGTCTGTGGCTAGTGTCAGTTCTGCCTGTGTGACCTTAGCCAGTTCATTCAAACTCTTAGAGCGTCAATTGCCTTGGCCATAATTAACTATGTTCTTGACTCAAGTAGTATACAAACACAGTTTATCTTTGATGATAGAAGTTTATTACTAGGATCTGTGAGGAAAAAATCACTGTACAGGAATCTGTGTTAGCAATTTTATAATAACTCACAATGCTGAGTTTCAAAACTACTATGATATGGCTAAAAGATAAATAGAAAAATAATTAAACATCAATGACATATCATTGTACTTTGTTTAATGTACTTTGTTTAATATACTTTGTTCAAAAAAGAACATGGAGCAATTTCTTCAGAAGAAGACTGTGTATGTTTTCTTCTTCAAACACGGAGATTAAAATACCAAACTCAAAACTTTACCAGGAAGACTAAAATGTATATGCACTGGATGCACAAACACTTATTAATTATAAAATATCAGGTAAAATGTGAGTGATAGTTATATCATTATCAAGAATTGATTTGAAATAATTTTGTGTATTTTCTAATGTTTTATAAGCTGTGATCAAAGATATCTCATTTAACTGATTAAAATGTTTTCAGTTTTATTTATTACTAGGGTCCCAGTTAGAGTCAGTTTTTAAGTAAAAATAAGATTTTAAGGAAATTAATGACATGATGCTATTCACCCAATACAGTCAATTCTCATTATTCATAACTTCTATATTTGCAGATTTACCTATTTACCAAAATTTGTTTGTAACTCCAAAATTAAAATATGTTGTGCTTTCACAGTCATTTGCAGACAGAGTGAGACATTATATGTGGTCGTGCACACACCTTCCTAGTTGAGATCAAATAAGAGATACTCAGGTACTCTGGCTTCTGGTTTCTGCTCTCATACTGTGTCCTTTTGTGCTGTTGTCAAGTTATTCACATTTTGTGCTTTTTGTTGGTAATTCTACTTTTTAAAGTGGCCTGCTTGCATAGTGCTGAAGTGCTGCTTAGGGTTCCTTAGCTCAGAAAGGCTGGGACGTAACTTACAGAGAAAACACATATGTTAGATAATATTCATTCTGGCATGAGTTACAGTATTGCTGGCTGTGGGTTCAAAGATAATGAATCAACAATATATATTAATTGTTGTGACCAGAGGCTCGCAGGGACCCAATTCTGTATTTCCCCTAGCAGCCATAGCTCAGTATTTGCTAATTCATGGTTTGCAGTTGCTTTATAGAACATAACTACCAGGAATAAGAAGAATTGACTGCACTTATTTCTCCTCCTCTATCTTGTGTTCCTGCCTGGCATGAAATGAGAGAAGGAGCAAATACATAAAATGCAGAAGAAATTTACCTTCGTGAACTAAGATTCAGGCTTAATTCATGCAACACAAACACTCCAGCTGCAATCAGAGCAATGAAAGAAAAACTTTTGGGAGGAATGTTGCAGAACAAGGTATAAGAAATGTTGAGACTGGGGAGTTCTCCTCCTCCTCACTGATTGTGTTACAACTGAATGTGGTGTGTAACTCAAGAGCCATGTTTCAAGTAAGTATTTGCTTGATTGTCTCACCTCAAAGACCATGTTTCTTAAGGGCAAAGACTATACCTTATGACATCTGAGTTTTTGCAATGCCACGTTAAGATAAAAGCAAAATCATCATCAAAATCTAGTGCCACCTAAAATATTCCCACAGTTATTCCTGGCCGCCTAAAATATTCTTCTTCTGCCGCCTAAAATATTCCCACAATTATTCCTGGGAATCCTGGAGGATATTACACATGAGCTCAAGGATACTTCTGGCTCATTAGATTTACCACCAGACCTAATTTTTTCATTGTTGCTTCTTTGGCTTTGATCCTTTCTCCACGTGTACCACCATGTCTACTGACGCTGTATCATTTTCACACATCACTGCTGATTCTGCTGGTTACCGACACTATGCCGCCTTGCTTGGGCAGCATCATCTCCACTTGTAGCACTGTTGATGAATTGGCTGAATGACTGACTCTACTACTCCCTCTGTTCAACACCATTGCTCTGTTTTTCAGGTACTGCTCTCTCTAGCCAGACATCCTATCCATAAGAAACTTCTATGTGTCAAGGTTGTGTGATTGTGATGACATGGAATAGAATCCCCTTCTCATGTATTTTATACCTTACTTTAATAGAAAATCACCTCTTAAACCACAGAGATCATGAGACCTCTTGGCCTTCCTAATGCATGAGCCAATTCCTATAAGTCTGCTTTTATATATATTTACAAGTATCCTATTGGTTCTATTTCTCTGGAGAACCATGAGTAATACAACCCTCTATATGTCTTATGCACGGCTTTATTTTCTTACCTACAATTTTAACTTGTAATGTCTGTTGAAATCCCTGTCTCCCACTAGATTGTGAGCTCCTAGAAGTATGGGGAGCACATTGTAGATGCATAATAGTTTTAATTGAAAGAAAAAATAACTTTTATAGTTAGTAAAGACAAGCAGTACCAGCGTTTATTTCAAAATAATAAATGTTAAAGAAATTAATCAATTAATTAATACTGCCTAGAGCAGTAATACATATGAGCCAAACAAAACAAAACAACCCACTAAACCCAACTAGACAAAAGACAATCTTGGCCTCAACTACCTCATCTATAAAATGGTTATGTTTGTTATGAAGATTAAATAAATGTACGTATGTATATACATACACACATATACATATATATTGTTTAGAACAATGATTGGCATATTGTGACTGCTCTAAATATTAAATATTATAAATGATCAAAAAAAATTTCAGAAAAAAAAAATCCCTGCTTTTACTCATTCTCTTATACTAGAAATCTATGGGGAATTTATAGTGAGCAACTAATTGTCAAACATCATGCTATACAAGGAATCTTTTTCAACTCTGTATTATGACACCTTGTTCTGGGTCCAAAATTGATCGTATGGTATTATGGCTAAGAGTGTAGATTCTGGCCAGGCCCTGTGGGTCACGCCTGTAATCCCAGCACTTTGGGAGGCCTAGGCGGGAGGATCACGAGTTCAGGAGATCGAGACCATCCTGGCTAACATGGTGAAACCCCGTCTCTACTAACAATACAAAAAATTAGCCAGGCTTGGTGGCAGGCAACCGTAGTCCCAGCTACTTGGGAGGCTGAGGCAGGAGAATGGCATGAACCCAAGAGGCGAAGCTTGCGGTGAGCTGAGATCACGCCACCGTACTCCAGCCTGGGTGACAGAGCGAGACTTCACCTCAAAAAAAAAAAAAAGTGTAGGTTCTAAGCCTTATTGACTGTGTTTGGACATGGACTTTACTACACAGTTGTTGAGTGATCTTTGGCAAATTATTTAACCTCCTTGTGCCTCATATCCCATATGTATAAAATCAATAATACAATGTTACCAAACATATCACATTGTGTACATGAAATATATACAGTTATTTGTATATCAGTTGTACTTCAATAAAGCTGGTAAAAAATTCAGCCACATAAAATGTGTACTCCAATAAAAAGTGGTACCACCTGCAGAGATCCATGGGATTAAATTTGCTTGCCTGTGTACATGGGCAGCATTTAAATCAAAATGGCATTATTAAATACTCAATGAGTTTTAGTTATTAGTTTTCCTTTAGGATGTGTTCTCACTTCATGCAAATTGATGTGAATTAGATTTACCTCATCAGTTCCCAAGACATGCCTAGATATGTCTAAACAGTAGGTTTGGACACATACATCACTGACTCTTCCAGCACCTAGCAGCTAGCATATATTAAATGCTCAGAATATGTATGCCAAATAAATGATAGGTACAGATATGCAGAAGGCATAAATAGGTGTAGAAAGATTATATGTCACTAATACACTAATATGTCATTAACACTGGTGATTTTAGTAGCAGAGCCAAGGGAATTCTATCCTGCCTAGTGACAAGCAAAGTTCCTGGCATATTGATGGTGCTCCATAAATACGTCTTAAATTTAAAATGATATCTAACACTTATTGAATAATTACCCATTCTGTGAACTGTTGAACATCTGTATCTCATTTAACTGTCCTATATAGTTTGTTCTTTTTGCTATTTCCATCTTGTTGATGAAGAAATTAAGGCAAAGAGTGTGTGTAATCTCTCTTGACAACAAGATGTCTCTCAAGATGACACAGCTAAAATAGGTAGGTGTGGGGAATCACAAGTTGACAATCTGCATGTGACAACAGCATAGTCTTATACATTGTTAACAGGAAAAATGCAAATGAATGAATAAATAAATGAAAGTTTAATAAGAGTGTGAATGTTAAGACTTGAGTCATTATGTCAACTTGTCTGGATTTGAATAACAACTCCCTTGTTAGTTAAATGATTATGAAAAACCATGTAATTTTACTGTTCTTGTTTCCATATCTTTCGAAAAAGGATAAACATAATATATATCATGTATGTTATAGGTTGCTATGGGTTTAAAAAAAAAAAAAAAGCAAAACACTTATCCAGTGCCTGGTACATAGTACATGTTTTAAAAATAGCCACGATTCTCATTTTACTTGTTCTTGATTTTACTATGCTCATATTTCTTATTTTCATATGTTGTTTCCTTACAGGCAAGGTGAAAAGATTAAATTACATTTATGATACATGTTTATTTTAAAGGTTACCCATTCAAACTAGTTATAAAATAGTTTGATAGTTAAGAATGTAGGTGTCAGTTCTCTGGAATGCGAATCAATTGATTGTATAATTATTTAGAGAAATAGGGATTCTATTCAACTATTGTGGACACAAGTGTAACAACAGAATAAATACATACCTATACTGTTCAAACAGAGTTTGCTTTTGTAGGAGCTAGAAAATATGAATCAGATTATTCTAAGAAATCTTTGTGTGAGAATAATAGCAAAGCCCTACAATGTTATTTGCTATGGTCATGTCTGTTCTTACAAAGGGACTTTAAATGACATAGTTTACAAAAATGGCTTAGGACAGAAATAATACATTTACTCCTGAGAATTATACAGAACAAGAGAATATTTATTTCTCTGTTGTTACCACTTTGATCATTTCCCTTTACAATATAGACATCAGCAAAGATGTCAACCTGAAGCAAATAATTCAAGATACTTTCTGATTTGGAGTAGAAAGGCAATTGTTCCAAGATGTTCTGAATGTGGTCTGCACAAATGAACAGTTTCTTATGGCAAAAAGATTATTATAATAATTCCTGGGCTATAATTGTGAAATTGTGCCATAATTAATACATTTTAGAAATATGAGTTCACATATACTTTGCTGATAGGCTTTTATATAAATGGATGTTCTAATTTAAATCTATATTTTAAATTGTGACTGAATTCTTAAAAACTGCAAGTCAACTTAAGCCTGAAATTAAAGGCTCTCATTATACCTAATCACTGAGATCTGCAACATCACAGTCTTTCAAAATTTATATATAAATATACACGTTTCTTTAGACTACATTCATATTATTAATTGTTAGTTGTATTCAAATATTTTATTCCTACTACTCTAAGAGCACCTCAGAGAAGGGAACTTGCTTTATTCATCTAAGATCTGTTCCCTTGTTTGGCACATTTGAGATGTGCAATATTAATTGAAAGAAAATCAGTAATGTCACAGGTAATCTATGCTTAATAGTAAATTTATGAGCGTTAAGAAAAATTGAAATACTTACTAAAAATACTAAACATTGTTCATTATATTAGTTCATATATATTTTTATTTAAACATCTTAATTGTACAAAACATAGGAATGTTCAGGAAGCTTACTGCATCCTATACTTTGGTAAAGGCACAGCTGGTTCTTCGTGTCACTAATATGATACCTTTTATGATAAATATGACAAAACATCTGTGTCTCTTAAGGCATGGATAGCTTCTCTTATCAATAACAGGCACTTCTAGTTGAATCAATACACCAGGAGGCCTATGCAGCTAATTTAAAGTAGTGATGAGTAATATGAAGAATGAGTAAAACAAAGTAAGGGAATAGAGAGTGAGTAGAATTGTAGTGGGCTTTCTCTTTTTAATAAGGTGGTCAGGGAAAGCCTGTATGAGTAAGAAATATTTAAGTAGAACTCTAAATGAAGACATGAACAGCACGGTGACAATGTGAAAAGGGAGAACATTCTGGTGAAAGAAACAGAAGTTCAACTCTCTGAGGCAGGAAATAACTCTAATTTCTTAACAAACTTAAGAAATTTCAAGAAGGACAGTGTGATCCAGACAGAGTTAGCATAGCTAAAGCAGGAAGAAGTTTAGGTTAAAAGTTAAATAGTATGAGGCCTTGTAGCCTGCATTAGGAAGTTAGACATTGTTTTTTTTTTTTTTTTTTTTTTTTTTTTGAGACGGAGTCTCGCTCTGTGGCCCAGGCGGGAGTGCAGTGGCGCAATCTCGGCTCACTGCAAGCTCCGCCTCCCGGGTTCATGCCATTCTCCTGCCTCAGCCTCCCGAGTAGCTGGGACTACAGGCGCCCGCCATCACGCCCGGCTAATTTTTTTGTATTTTTAGTAAAGACGGGGTTTCACCGTGTTAGCCAGGCTGGTCTCGATCTCCTGACCTCGTGATCCGCCCGCCTCGGCCTCCCAAAGTGCTGGGATTACAAGTGTGAGCCACCGCGCCCGGCCGACATTGTTTTAAATGTGATAGAAAACCACCAAAATGTTTTGAGTATGGTAGCGAAGTGATGTTATTTAAGATTTTAAAAGACTACTTTAACGGGCAGCATGGAGACTGAACTAGATCAGAATTAAACTATTAAGGTGGGCATTGATGTAGATGATGGGAGAGATGACAACAGCTCAGACAAGGATGGTAGTGGCAACAATGAAGGAAAAAGGTTTGATTCAAGATATACTTTGAAAGTTGATTCATCTATGTATCCAAAAAATAGAATCAGCAGGTCAAAGAGATATCTGCACTCCCATGTCTATTGCAGCATAATTCACAATAGGCAAGAAATATGATCAACCTAAGTGTGCATCAGTGAATGAATGCATAAAGAAAATGTGGTATGAACACACAATGGATTACTATTCAGTCCTAAACAACAAAGAAATCCTATTATTTGCAACAACATAGATGAACCTGGAGGATATTATGTTAAGTGAAGTAAGCCCGCCACAGAAAGACAAACACAGTGTCTTTGGGGGATTGATTCCAGGACCACTATCTCACCCTGTGGTGTACAACCAAATCCATGCATATT
Organism: Homo sapiens; assembly: GCF_000001405.40. Lineage (NCBI taxonomy): Eukaryota > Metazoa > Chordata > Mammalia > Primates > Hominidae > Homo > Homo sapiens. Next base: position 39,217,983 of record NC_000011.10, read on the forward strand.
CAAATTCAGTGTTGGCCCCGAGGAACCCATGTATACCAAAAGTCAGCCCTACTTATGTGCAAGTTTTGCATCCCTGAATTACTGTATCTGAGTTTGGTTGAAAAAAGTCTGCATATAAACGGACCTGCACAGTTCACACCCATATTATTCAAGCATCAACTGTATAGCACGTTATCATTTACACGTGGAATCTAAAAGTCAAACTCATAGAAGCAGAAAGTAGAATGGTGGTTACCAGAGATTGGGGGAGGAAGAAATGGGGAGATATTTGTCAAGAGATACAAAATTTTAGTAAGACAAAAGGAGTAAGTTCAAGAGACCTTTTTTACAACATGGTAATTATAGTTAATAACAACGTATTTTATACTCGAAAATTGCTGAGAGTAAATTTTAAGTGTCTTCATTACAAAAAAAGATTATATTAATATGTGAGGTAATGTATATGTTAATTAGCTTGATTTAGCCATTCCATGCTATATACATATTTCAAAACATCATGATATACACCAGAAATATGTACAATTATTATTTGTCAGTTAAAAATACATTTTTAAAAAGTTAATTTGTCAAAATGTATTAATTGGGCTCAGGATAAAAGTGGAAAAAAGGAATGAAGGGTGACTTCCGGGTTTGAGCAATTGGACAAATGGTGAATGGCAAGACAGAAAAAACTGGAGCAGAAATTTGTTTACAGAGAAAAGTAATGTTTTGGTTATGTTAAGACCCTAGAGAGGAAATGTTGGCAGGTATTTAGTTGTAAACTTCTTGAATTCCATGATTATTATATACATCAGTCTATAATTTGTGTGTGTGTGTGTGTGTGTGTGTGTATGTGTGTGTGTGTGTGTGTGAAGTTCTCACTCTGTCACTCAGGCTGGAGTGCTGTGGCACGATCATGGATCACTGCATCCTCAACTTCCTGGGATCAAGTGTTCTTCAACTTCCCAAGTAGCAGGGACTACAGATGTGTGCAACTTTGCCCAGATAATTTTTGTGTTTTTGTAGAGATCGGGTTTCACCGTGTTGCCCAGGCTGGTCTCGAAATTCTGAGCTCAAGCAATTGGCCTGCCTCGGCCTCCCAAAGTGCTGGGATTACAGGTGTGAACTGCCGCACCCAGCCCAGGCTATAAATTTGGAGATCAACTATTTGTAGCTAAACCTGTATGGAATCATAAATAAGAAAAAGAAAGAAAGAGAAAGAAGGAAGGAAGGAAGGAAAAAGAAAGAAAGAGAGAGAAAGAAAGAAAGAAAGAAAGGAGGGAGGGAGGGAAGTAAGAAAGAAAGAAAGGAGGGAGGGAGGGAAGGAAGGAAGGAAAAGAGAGGGGAAGAAAGAAAGCAAGAGAGAAAGGAAAAGAAAGAAAAGAAAGAAAGAAAGAGAAAAAGAAAGAAAAGAAAGAAAAAGAAAGAAAAGAAAGAGAAAGAAACAAAACAAGAAAAAAGAAAAAGAGAGAGGGAAGGAGGGAGGAGAGAAAGAGAGAGAGGAGAAAGAGAAAAAAGAAAGATTATTGGAAAACTGAGCATGAGCTGCTGAGCATTTAGAAATATGAAGAGATACTCCAGCAAAAAACATAAAGTATTAGTAAGAAGGGAAGGAGGAGAAATATACACGTAATGATACATATAATAAGTCAAGTGAAACAAAATTTCAATAAGGTTGCTAGAAAATTTTCAAATACTACTGAGTCATAATAAGATAGAGACTGAGTATTGACCATTAAATTTGACAAATAGTTATTACTGATGATTATCACAATAGTGAATTATGGTGACAATCTTCTTGGAGTAGAACCAAGCATGAGGTGATAAACTGATATGGAAAGTATTGAATATTCTCTTCATAAGTTTTATATAGAGATAAATATAGAAATAAAGCAGCAGTTGTGAAAAGATGTCGAGCCACAAAAGATGCTTTATGGTGTTGTGTTTTGGGGATTACCTTCTTTTTATAAATTTTGGATTTTCTCAAGATTAGCTTTTCTTCCTTCAGTACCATGAATACATATGTTAGCATGTTTAGAAATTCCTCACTCTGGACCTTGAGTCTATGTGGTAGTTTTTCTCAACATTACACCTCTCTAAATCCTACATATATCTATCAATAATTATCCTTTCCTGCCTGCCACCTCAGTGAAGCTCTCTTTCATTATTCCACCCATTACAACCATGCTATTATGTGAAACCTTTTTATACTTTTAAAAATCTTTTTTTATCCTTATTAACATACTGAATTGCATTATCACCTACTTGCTGACATGTTCACTATATCTAGATCCTTAATGCTGTGGGCTTCAAAGTCAAATTGCCTGTGTTCAAAGTCTAGTTCTGATATTACCATTTGTGACATCTTTGACAAGTCTTTTATCCTTTCTAAGTTCTCAGTTTTACATACACAATTTAAGGGAAATAATAGTAAGCATATCCCAAACTTATTTTGAGAATTTCGCAAGACACTATGAAAACTACTGGCACAATGTAAATTTCAATAAGTGCTATTTTTTACTATGTTATATATTTACTTCCTTACATTATTATAAATTCTTAGTTCCCCGATAACTGGATAATGCTTTGTGCTTAACAAGTGGCAGTTGAATGGAAATAAAATGTACCCACATGTTCATTCATACAATTCATTCAACAATTATCTTTTGGGTGTTTATATCTTCCACTCACTGTTGTAAACACTTCATAAACATCAGTGAGCAAAACCACCACCAACAAAAATAACAACAACAACAAAATCCCCCTGTGGCTTTGCTAGAGTATCAGCAAGTTAAGAACAGAGAAAGAAAGAAAGAAAAAGAAAGGAAGGAAGGAAGGAAGGAAGGAAGGAAGGAAGGAAGGAAGGAAGGAAGGAAGAAAGGAAGGAAGGAAGGAAAAGAAAAGAAAAGAAAAGAAGGAAGGAAGGAAGGAAAGAAAGAGAGAGAGAGGGAGTGGGGGAGTGAGGGAGGAAGGAAGGAAGGAAGAGAGGGAGGGAGGGAGGGAGGGAGGGAGAGAATATTAAAGAATGTAATCACTTACTCACAATTTCCAAAAGCTGAATCTTAAAAAAATAGAAGATTGGGGCAAACCCTGATTAAATTAAAATGAGGCTCTCTATCCCACAATTACACGGTGCTGAAGTTCTGTATAACATGCAATATACACTTATATTGCCTTTATAACATGTAAGAAGTTCTGATGTCCAAATTATATTTGACCTCAAAGATTGTAGTCAATTGAACGTGGACTTGTATTATATGATAAAATTTTCAACTGAGTCATTACAGAGTTACTATTTTAAAAAATGTTTATTGGGATGTTCATTTAAACAAACAATGGAAATGTATCAAAGGTCTGTGTGATGAATGAAGCAACTGAGCTTTGATTTTGGAAAATTTAAATCTAGAAGTTATGATGGGGCAAAAAAGCATGATTTGTGTTTTAGATTTTAGAAAGCATTTGCAGATAATTTTATTAGAACAAAATCATAAACCAATTTATTCTGGATATTTGTTAAGAATTACAAATACAAAACCCAATAACATTTCTTTATGGGGCCCCTTTTTTAAGAAACACAAAATACACATTCTGGTGCAGAGTGGACTTGAAAAGGATTCCATACGGAAAAGATTTACTTCAGAAATTAGAGAACAACCTTAGTGACAATGGCTGCTACCCTAACCCAGGAACAATTTTTATTCACATAACTCAAGTTGTGAAAGAAGGTCTTACTTTTCCTTACAACACTAAAAATGACTTTGCCACCTGCGTCTCACCACATATCTGTAAATAACAGATTGCACCAATTATGTTAGTGTTCTGTTGCTGTGAATTAAAATAAAATGTAGCAGTAGGAAAGATTTATAGGCAAATGCCTCCTTTAGAGTTCTAAAGCTGATAAGCAGAGAAGTATGAATTATTAAACCGAATAGAAGCTTTATGGAAAGGCTTGTAATCAAGCTTTGCTTACACAGAACAAGAAACCTGTGACTAATTTCAAATAATGTTGTTTGCCTAACAAAATGGGACATTTAAAGGTCAGCTCTATAATGAAAACCTGATTTCAAAGAAAGGAAACACTGTTACTTTAGTCTTATATTTCATTTAGAAGAGACATCATATTGAATAAAATACAGCACAGTGTCACTGGAAGTTAAATGTTTCTGATGGGTAGTTTCGAATGACTTTAAATACTTGATATGCAGTAACAGGAGAAAACCTAAAGATTAAACCTTAAAATTGTAAGCGAAGTTTGGATGGCCAAAGTTCAATAAGCACAAGTTTTTACCTTAATTTTTAGTATAACCATACTAATTTCCAAACATTTGTGTTATTAACTTGGTATGCTTAACTCCTCTTCTCTGCAAATTTCTTGTAGGAAAAATAAATTGAGGCAGTTTATTAACATTGGAGATAGAAAAGGCATTCAAAATAGTGCAATGTGAGATTTCATATAAATTTAAGCACTATTTTTAGGTTACACTTACTAAGAGAAAAACTTTTTCCCTTTTTTTTTATCATGCTACAACTTAACTCTAAGTCAAAACATGTGGAAGACATAAAATATAAATTATTTATTTAGTACTCTCATTTATTTTTTATTTTTGAGACGGAGTCTCGCTCTGTCGCCCAGGCTGGAGTGCAGTGGAGCGATCTCGGCTCACTGCAAGCTCCGCCTCCCGGGTTCATGCCATTCTCCTGCCTCAGCCTCCTGAGCAGCTGGGACTAGAGGCGCCCGTCACCACGCCCGGCTAATTTTTTGTATTTTTAGTAGAGAAGGGGTTTCAGCGTGTTAGCCAGGATGGTCTCGATCTCCTGACCTCATGATTCGCCTGCCTCAGCCTCCCAAAGTGCTGTGATTACAGGCTTGAGCCACCGCGCCCGGCCGAGAAGAGGTATACTTCTAACGTTCACATCTGAACATAAACACCATGTAGATTATCTGGCTTACTCTCCTTTATTTCATGGACTCCATTAGTTCTAGTATTTATTTACATCATTATAGTTCTTAGTTTCAGAATATCATAAAGTAAAAATAAAAATGGATTTGTTGAGAAGTACTGAACTCATAAATAAGAATTGCATTATTATCCACAAAGATAGCTGAAAAAGTTACTGTAAGAGTTGGTACCAAAATTATTCCTGGAATTTTTGCTTTTGAAATCCAGCTACTGTGGTACAAGAAGCTCAAGCCATGAGCTTGATAATGGGAGATAATATAATGGAGAACTAAAATCTTCCGTTCTCATACGAGCCCATATGAGTTTTTAAACAACCATCTATATTCACCAATAGCCATGTTATTAAACCATTCGCTTAGAGCCCAGTGGGACTGCAACCTTAGACAACAGTGACTATATCTGTCAGTGTTGAACAGAAACCCCAAGAAAAGGCCGGGCACGGTGGCTTATGCCTGTAATCCCAGCACTTTGGGAGGCCAAGGCCAGCGGATCACGAGGTCAGGAGATCGAGACCATCCTGGCCAACACGGTGAAACCCCGTCTCTACTAAAAATACAAAAATAAAGAAAAAAAAAATTAGCCGGGCGTGGTGGCCGGCGCCTGTAGTCCTGTAGTCCAGCTACTAGGGAGGCTGAGGCAGGAGAAAGGCATGAACCCCGGAGGTGGAGGTGGAGGTTGCAGTGAGCCGAGATCACGCCACTGCACTCCAGCCTGGGCGACAGAGCAAGACTCCGTCTCAAAAGAAAAAAGAAAAGAAAAGAAAAGAAACCCTAAGAAAAAAATGGCTAGATGATTTCAGACAATCCAGAGACTCTTGAAAATAAATGAATTATTTGTTTTGTAAATCTGTGAAGTTTTGAGGTAGTCTATCATGCAGTGACAAATAACTAAACCATATGCATTTAAGGTAACACATTATTATATATTCAGGGTATTGCTACATCCCTCAGACTTGATGTATATTTAGCAAAGGTTTTTATGAAGTTAAAATAAATGTACATTCTGCAGTTGTGTGCTATGTTCCGTATATGTTAATGAAGTTAATTGAGAAAATAGGGTTTTTCAGATCTTATAAATTCTTTCTACATTTTTTTGTTGCTCATTCACTTACTGACAGAGGTGTGATAAAGTCTCCCATTTTGATGACTATTTGTAGATTTGCTAATTCTGTTAATTCTTGCTTTATAATGATAATACTATGTTAATAGTTGCATAATATTTGTGATTGTTACATTTTCCTGGTTTATCGGCCTCCATATTATTTTGAAGTATTCCTCTTCATCTCCAGGAGTAATTCATGCCCTATGGTTTATTTTGTTTGATATTTATATAGCTCCTCCTTATTTCTTTTTTTAAAATTCGTTGCATGACAAATGTTCTATACTTTCATTTTCCATGTTCCTTTTCCCTTAATTAAAATGTCTTTCTTCCACACAGAATATAGTTTTTCTTCATAAAAATTCATTCTGATGGCGGGGCACAGTGGCTCATGCCTGTAACCCCAGCACTTTGGGAGGCCAAGGCAGGCGGATCACAAGGTCAGGAGTTCACGACCAGCCTGGTCAATATGGTGAAACCCCGTCTCTACTAAAATACAAAATTAGCCAGGTATAGTGGCACATGGCTGTAATCTTAGCTACTCGGGAGGCTGAGGCAGAAGAATTGCTTGAACCCGGGAGGCAGAGGTTGCAGTGAGCCAAGTTGCACCACTGCACTCCAGCCCGTGCGACAGAGCAAGACTCTGTTTCAAAAAAAAAAAAAATCAAAACAAAAAAATCATTCTGATAATCTGTGACTTTATAATGGAAGTTTTACTTTATTTACATTTGATGTAAATTGATCCAATTTGTTTTCTACATGTTGTATGTCCTTCCCTTTTTCTTTGTATCAGTCAAGTTTCAGTAGGGTTTCATTGCCTCATCTATAGGGTTATTTATGATAAAATATTTTTATTATTTGTTTAATGGTTTCATGAACAAATGCACCTTAACTTAGTAGCATCCAATATAAATAACTAATATATCACATCCCAGACAATTGTCTGGCCTTATAATACATTACATTAACTTCTTTTACTTCCTCCTGCCTTGGGTGTTCTTTGTTCATATATTCATTTCTACATTGATTTTGACCTACATAACAAACTACAATTACTGTTTCCTACTGTCAATATTTAGATTTACTCATATCATTACCATAGTTACCATTACGTTCTATCCTTTCTACTTGACATAATTTTTCTCCTGTCTGAAGAACACTGTTTAATATTACTTTTTGTGTGTGATTGTTGATGATGAATTTCCTTTTCATTTTTGTTGACTGGAGATACTTCTATTTGTCTTCACTTGTGAATAACATTTTTACTGAAAATAGATTTCTAGACCAGTAGTTTTTTACATCAATTTTGCTAAGATGTATTATTTTTTCTTCTTCAGTGATTAGTAAGTTGATCATTATGCTTTTGTTCACCTAAAGATAATCTTTTTTCTCATTCTTAAAGATTTTATTTTTGTCTTAGAGTTTTAACAGTGTTACTACAATGTGCATTAAGTTTAGTTTTATCTGTATTTATCCTACATGAAGTTTGTTGTGCTTCTTGAATGTGTGGCTTAATATCTTTCATCAACTTAGGAATATTCTTAGTGATTATCTTTTTGAATATGAATTATTCCTATTTCTTTCTTATCTACTTTTGATAATTCTTGTGTTATTTTATGCATCCCATATGTCTCTTGCCTTTCTTTTTGTTTATCTATCAGTTTTCTTTCTCTCTGTGTTTCAGTCTAGACAGTTTTCCAGTGCATTGGTAATCTCTTCCTTTTATTCTAATACACTTCTAAACCTATTATTTTTTAATTTAATGGCATTCATGTATTTTGTTCTAAAATTTACATTATATTGACCAGATTATTGAAATACACATGCAGAGTTTTATATATATTGTTATATATGTATACATTTTCCCCAGCAATGTGGTGCATTTCTCCATCTCATCATTCATATTCTTGACATATTAATCACAATTATATTAAAGTTTATGTTTGAAAATTTCAATATCTGAGTTGCTTCTAAACTATGTTATCTGTTTTTCAAACCTTTTGTTTTTTTACCCTTAGAATACCTGATAACATTTCACTGTGTGTCAGGCATCATGTTTTAAACTATTATAGATGGCTTTGAATGATATCTTTCTCCAGGAAACATTCACCCATTCTCTTTCAGGCTTCTAGAGTAAGGAAAAAAAAAGGATCACCTTAATCCGTAATGGATGAAGCTAACTAGAAGTTGCATTTATATTCAATGCTTGATCTATTTTAAGTCTACCCCACACCAACTTGCCAGGTCTCACCAGGTCCTGAAATCCAATTTATTGTCAGAACCACTAAATATTCAGCATTGTAAGATTGTCAAAAGATCCATTAAGTGTTTCAGCTACTTTTTACTAGGTTTCTTAGTATTTGTCACAGTTTACATTAAGAGTTTTGAAATGATCTGAGGAAAAGTCCAGGTAGAGCATCATATTTAACCTCTATGCATCTCTTCTCTGCAGAATCTTGGCTGCACAAGCCTTGACTGCTAACAAAGCCATGCCCAAATCCCATTTTCTTTTCTCCATGTTTTTAAGAATTTGCAGAAAGCTCTACTGGTTTCTTGACATCAGAGTAGATGTGCTCTGCTGGGCTATCTAGTCTCTCGCTAGATGTCACTTAAGACTTGGAAAATGTCCCAAGAGGAAAAGTAAGGTGCAGGTTATTGGTCTATTCTCAATAAGTTTCCCATCTTTCTGGGGTTATGGACTCTCTTGTCTTAGATGCCACAGAAGCCCTTGAAACCTTCATATGCATGTTAAGTTTTTTTTTTTTCATTTTAAATTTTGCTTTATCTTTCTTCAAATTTCCTTATTTACAACAACAGCATTGCCCAAAGAAAATACATACCAACGTAGCTAAAAGAGGAAATTTTGAGACTCTGTATTAAATTGAAGAAATTTCTCTTTATATAATTTTACAAAAATCAATTTAAGTATCTAGAATACAGCATCATTATAAGAACGCAATATTTCTCCCTGATTTTCTATCAAATGCTGTTCAATTATGTAGTGCCTTAAAATGAGGGTTTTTTTTTCATTTTTAACAATAATACATTATTTCTTTTCATTGAGACACTTATTATCTGCAACTCCATTTTTTCTTTATGAATATAATTAGATGAGGAGATTGGAGTACTTTCTAGAATGAATCTAAGAAAAAAGTCTATATTTAACTTACTAAGACAGTGTATATTTATAAAGGGACAAACTAAGTTACCAATAGAACAGAATAAAGTGCTTCAAAGGATCTCAAATACACTTGTGCCATATAGAACATTGGCACATGGTACAGATAGTATGGCCAGTCACTGGCAACATAAGGGACTGCTTAACGCATAAAGCTGGAAATAACACCAGAGGACTACCTGTGTTATAAAACTTGAAATAAGAAAAACTAAATAAAAACACAAAAGTTACAGTAACAGCTCATTTTAGGGTGGACAGTAAAACTGGATAGGTGCAGTTCCAACAGGTACATGTAAGTTTTCTGGAGTATTCTAGCTGTCCGTTTGAGTGGTGGATATGAGAAATTATCTTTATTTAACTGAATAACTGGATAAATTAAGGGTAAAAATGCATCATGAATGTTCCAGTAGTGATAATGTGTTAAGCTATGATTAATTCAATCTGTGTAACCAAGCTACATGACAAAAAGTAAGAACAATTGAATGACAATTGTCATCCAGTACTCTAACTCCATCTCTTTACTGCAGCAAGTGGCTTAATTGCTGCAATCCTGACAATGTCACAGGACATCTAGTATATATAAATATGTTGTAAATATTTATATATATACTTATTTATAAATATATATATATTTATATATATACTTATTTATAAATATATATATATATTTATATATATACTTATTTATAAATATATATATATATTTATAAATATTTATGTATATATATTTATAAATATACATGTATATATATTTATATATATACATATATAAATATGTTGTAAAAAATGCATGGTTTAAAAATTAAGAGTAGTCCTAATTAGAAGATCTAGAATCCATCTTCCATGACCTCCAAAAGCATTAGACAACATAACTCTCAGTTTGTAAATTTTACTAGTAGTAAGATGTAGCTTTCTGACTAGCCTGTCAATAGCATCGGTAGCTTCATATTAAATCAATGTCCATTGCCTATAAGCAGGATTTAATTTATGTTTCAATCTTGGCAGTTAAGATTTGATCAGTACATTCTAGTGAATGAAGAATGAGGCCCTCTTTATTCTTTTTCCACCATAGAGAAACATCATAAAAGCTTTGGGAAAAGGTATTAAGGAAAAAAAAAAACAAACTAGGACAGTTCCCTCATGGTTTTCATAGTCAAGGATTTGTTTACAATAAAACATTCACAATTTTGCAAATGAGTACATAGACATTTTAGTATTTTTTTATTTAGAAAGTGCAAAATGGGGCCAGGTGCAGTGACTCAACGCCTGTAATCCTAGCACTTTGGGAGGCCGAGGCAGGGAGATTGCCTGAGCTCAGGAGTTGGAGACCAGGTCAGGCAACATGGTGAGACCCAGTCTCTACTAAAATATAAAAAAAAAAATTAGCCCGGTATGGCATCAGCTTGCACCTGTACTCCCAGCTACTCTGGAGGCTGAGGCAGGAGACTTGCTTGAACTCGGGAAGTAGAGGTTGCAGTGAGCCCAGATCGCACCACTGCACTCCAGCCTGGGCGACAAAGCAAGACTCCATCTCCAAAAAAAAAAAAAAAAAATTGCAAAATGACCAAAACTCCTACATAATTAGGATAACCTTTGCCTTAGTCCATTCTGGCTGCTATAACAAAATACCTTAGACTGGTAATTTATGAATCATAGAAATGTATTGCTTACCATTCCAGAGACTGGGGAGTCCAAGATAAAGGCTCCATCAAATTCAGTGTCTAGTGAAGTTGCTCTTTGCTTCACAGATTGCACCTCTTGTTGCCTCCTGACATGGTAGAAGGACACAGCCTCCCTCAAGCCTTTTTTATTAGATCACCAATCCCATTCATAAGAGTGAAGCACTCATAACCTAATCACTTCCCCAAAGTCCCAAACTCTTAATATTACTATATTAATATAATATATTAAAGAACTCCTGAGCTCAGGCAATCTGCCCGCCTTGGCCTCCCAAAGTGCTAGGATTACAGGAGTGAGTCACTGCACCTGGCCCCATTTTGCACTTTCTAAATAAAAATATACTAAAATTTCTATGTACTCATTTGCAAAATTGTGAATGTTTTATTATAAACAAATCCTTGATTATGAAAACCATGAGGGAATTGTCCTAGTTTTTTTTTTTTCCCCTTAATACCTTTTCCTAAAGCTTTTATGATGTTTCTCTATGGTGGTAAAAGAGTAAAGAGGGCCTCATTCTTCATTCACTAGAATGTACTGATCAAATCTTAACTGCCAGGATTGAAACATAAATTAAATCCTTCTTATTAGCAATGGACATTGATTTAATATGAAGTTACCAATTCGGTTCTAACATATGAATTTTGGGGGACACCAACATGTAGACCACAGCAAGTTTGAAGTAAATCTGTACTATAAAAATCATCATAATATTAAGATAGATATGAAATGTTAGAGCACTTATGAGAGTGACATACAAGTTTATTCAATGTAAAAATATGTTTAATCAATATATTGATACTTAGAACCCCAAAGTATTGAATACAGTTTCTGGCAACTTTTGTAACTAGAGTAAATGAAAGTGGTTCTGCAAGAGAAATTATAAATGTCAGTGCTGAGGCACTATTGTCTCTTTATATATCAATATTAATTTTATTAATATGAATAACTATTATCAACCTTTCAGAAATGGAAGAAAAATTGACTCATTATTAATGAGCTAATACATCAATATATGCACACATACACAGAAACAATTAATAAAAATATATAACTTCACAAACCAAAATATAGGACTCTATGTGTCACTGAGAGGAAACAAAGATATTCATACATTCAAAACACTTACCTAACATTATGCTTTGGCTTATATAAGGAAGTTTAAAGTGGGAATTCTTAATGTATTTTGGGACATAGTTTTGGTCAGAAATACTGCAAACACTTTCAGTATCTTGGATAGAAACTTGTTTAGGGCTTTAAAAACAATTTAAAAATCACCTAAGAACAACAACTGAATATATAGTTTTTTAAAAAAAAATTTGTTAGCAGTATTGCATTTATTTTTGGTTTAGAAATAAATATTTCTAACTCCAAGTGAAATAGTTTCCTGAAAAAATAAATTAATCTGTATATATTTCAAAATTCATTTATTTTTCGGATTAATGACATAGTATTTTATTAAGCTTTTTTCAATGGGCAAAAAAAAATTAAGATTTCTAGGGCTTTTGTTGTACTTATTAGGTTTTATCTCTCCTAATTTTTGGTTTAAAGGTTGTGGGAAGTTATATGTATTCAAATAATATCTGGCCATCAAAATCCATAAAATTAATAATCATTTACTTACTGACCAAGCATAAATAATAGAAAAATATGAACTATAACCAGTTCATAAAAACTGCTATGAATTAATCTTCCCTTCCCTTGCATTCTATTTTGTGTTTATTCATAATAAGAGTTTCAGCCTTATTTGTATCAACTATATCCTCCATCTATCTAGATATAGTAGATAGGCATTCCAAATTCCATCCTGAGTTAACTCCAAATGATTCTTATAAACAGGGATTAATAAAGTACTGTGGAATTCTCAGAGGGAATATTTTCTTCATTTACACATTTGTATATTTGTCCATCACAATTTCTGCTATATAAGCCCTTGGGTATCTGATTGTGGATTTGATGAGGAAGCTATTGAATTATTACTAATTATTGTTGGACTCATATTTAAAAAGCTCTGGACTGAATATGACTTTACCAAATTACTATTTTTAAGTATAAAATATTTAAAAATTACATTTTTAATTTATAATATACATATGTATTGGAAGGCTGAGGCGGGCGGATCATGAGGTCAGGAGATTGAGACCATCCTGGCTAACACGGTGAAACCCCGTATCTACTAAAAATACAAATAATTAGCCAGGCGTGGTGGTGGGCACCTGTAGTTCCAGCTACTGGGGAGGCTGAGGCAGGAGAATGACGTGAACCCAGGAGGCGGAGCTTTCAGTGAGCCGAGATCATGCCACTGCACTCCAGCCTGGGCGACAGAGCAAGACTCTGTCTCAATAATAATAATAGTAATAATAATATTAATAATATGTAATAAGCAATATTTGCAATATATATGTAATATGCAATATTACATGGTTGTGTGATTAAACAATTTAATTTCATTTATATAAAATATTCTGTTTAAGAAAATAAATTTTCTTTCAACTATTTTCAAAGAAATTTTGGATCTCTTCCAGTTGATGAATATTGTAATAAAGTAAATTATGTTGAATAATGGCATTATAATTATAAGTAATTCTCATATTTAAAAAAATTGAACCTACAAAGACATTCCAATGGCTACTATTCATTTTGAGGTCCATATACTATTCTTTTAAATAAATGTATTGTTCTAAAACCTAAATCACTATGTTTCAGTTTTTAGCCCTAAAATACAGTTGAGTAGATGGTAGAAAGGATGTTAAGACCAAGAAGAAGAACTTTTAGCTGACTCATCCTAGAATTGACCAGGTTTGTGATTCTACTCTATAATGAAAGACACTAAGAAACCTCATACAATATACACCTTTAGGTAATAGTTTGCTCTGAGTAAGAAACTTTGTTTAGACTTTCTGGCAAGATGGCTGAACAGGAACAGCTCCAGTCTGCAGCTCCCAGCAAGACCAACACAGAAGTTGGGTGATTTCTGCATTTCCAACTGAGATAGCCGGCTCATCTCATTGGGACTGGTTAGAAAGTGGGTGCAGCCCATGGAGGGTGAGCAGAAGCAGGGTGGGGCATTGCCTCACCTAGGAAGTGCAAGGGGCCAGGGAACTCCCTCCCCTATCCAAGGGAAGCTGTGAGGGACGGTGCCATGAGGGACTGTGCTATACGGCCCAGATACTATGCTTTTCCCATGGTTTTTGCAACCCATAGACCAGGAGATTCCCTCGTGTGCAAGCACCACCAGGGCCCTGGGTTTCAAGCACAAAATTGGGCAGCTGTTTGGGCAGACACTGAGCTAGCTGCAGGATTTTTTTTTTCTTTTTTGCACTCCAGGGGTACCTGGAAACCCAGCGAGACAGAACCATTCACTCCCCTGGAAAAGGGGCTGAAGCCAGGGAGCCAAGTGGTCTTGCTCAGAGGGTCCCACTCCCATGGAGCCCAGCAAGCTAAGAACCACTGGCTTGAAATTCTCACTGACAGCACAGCAGTCTGAAGTTAACCCAGGACAATCGAGCTTGGTGGGAGGAGGGGTGTCCGCCATTACTGAGGCTTTAGTAGGCGGTTTTCCCCTCACAGTGTTAACTCTGATTGTGCAGAACTCACCACAGTGTAGCCAAACACCTGGGGCCAGACTGCCTCTCTAGATTCCTCCTCACTGGGCAGGGCATCTCTGAAAGAAAGGCAGCAGCCCCAGTAAAGGACTTGTAGAAAAAATTCCCATCTCCCTGCTACAGAGCACCTGGGGGAAGGGGCAGCTGTGGGCACAGCTTCAGCAGACTTAAATGATTCTGCGTGCCTGCTCTGAAGAGAGCAGCAGATCTTCCAGCACAGCTCTTGAGCTCTGTTAAGGGACAGACTGCCTCCTCAAGTGGGTCCCTGACCTCTGTATCTCTTAACTGGGAGACACCTCTCAGCAGGGATCAACAGACACCTCATACAGGAAAGTTCCGGCTGGCATCAGGAGGGTGCCCCTCTGGGACGAAGCTTCCAGAGGAAGGAACAGGCAGCAATCTGCTGTTCTACAGCCTCCGCTGGTGATACCCAGGCAAACAGGGTTTGGAGTGGACCTCCAGCAAATACCAGCAGAGCTGTGGAAGAGGGGCCTGACTGTTAGAAGGAAAACTGACAAACAGAAAGCAATAACATCAATCTCAATGAAAAAGATGCCCACAGAAAAACCCCATCCAAAAGCCATCAGCATCAAAGATCAAAGGTAGAAAAATCCACAAAGATGAGGAAAAATCAGCGCTAAAATGCTGAAAATTCCAAAAACCAGAATCTCTCTTTTCCAAATGATCACAACTCCTCTCCAGCAGGGGCACAAAACTGGACATAGAATGACTTTGACAAATTGACAGAAATAGGCTTAAGAAGGTGAGCAATAACAAACTTCTGTAAGCTAAAAGAGCATGTTGTAACCCCATGCAAGGAAGCTAAGAACCTTGATAAAAGGTTACAGGAACTGCTAACTAGATTAACCACTTTAGAGAAGAACATAAATAACCTGATGGAGCTGAAAAACACAGTGCGAGAACTTCGTGTAGCATACACAACTATCAATAGCTGAACTGATCAAGGGGAAGAAAGGATATCAGAGATTGAAGATCAACTTAATAAAATAAACCATGAAGACAAGATTAGAGAAAAAAGAATGAAAAAGAATGAATAAAGCCTCCAAGAAATATGAAACTATGTGAAAAGGCCAAATATACAATTGATTGTTGTACCTGAAAGTGACAGGGAGAATGGAACCAAATTGGAAAACACACTTAAGGATATTATCCAGGAGAACTTCCCCAACCTAGCGAGACAGGCCAACATTCAAATTCAGGAAATAAGAGAACACCACAAAGATACTCCTCAAGAAGAGCAACCCCAAGACACATAATCATCAGATTCTCCAAGGTTGAAATGAAGGAAAAAATGTTAAGGGCAGCCAGAGAGAAAGGTCAGGTTACCTACAAAGGGAAGCCCATCCAACAAACAGCAGATGTCTCTGCAGAAACCCGACAAGCCAGAAGAGAGTATGGGCCAATATTCAACATTCATAAAGAAAAGAATTTTCAACCCAGAATTTCATATCCAGTCAAACTAAGCTTCACAAGCAAAGAAGAAATAAAGTCCTTTACAAACAAGCACATGCGAAGGGATTTTGTTACCACCAGGCCTGCCTCACAAGAGCTCCTGAAGGAACCACTAAATATGGAAAGGAAAAGCCGGTACCAGCCACTGCAAAAACACATCAAAGTATAAAGACCAATGACACTACGAAGAAACTGCATCAACTAATGTATAAAATAAACAGCTAGCATCATGTTGACTGGATGAAATGTACACATAACAATATTTACATTAAATGTAAATGAGCTAAATGCCTCAATTAAAAGACACAGGCTGGGAAATTGGATAAAGAGTCAAGACCCATCAGTGTGCTGTATTCAGGAGAACCATCTCATGTGCAAAGACACACATAGGCTCAAAATAAAAGGATGAAGGAATATTTACCAAGCAAGTGGAAAGCAAAAATAAGCAGGGGTTGCAATCCTAGTCTCTGATAAAACAGATTTTAAACCAAAAAAGATAAAAAAAGACAAAAAGGCATTACATAATGGTAAAGGGATCAATGCAACAAGAACTAACTATTCTAAATATATATGCACTCAATACAGGAGCATCCAGATTCATAAAGCAAGTTCTTAGAGACCTACCAAGAGACTTAGACTCCCACACAATAATAGTGGGAGACTTTAACACCCCACTGTAAATATTAGACAGATCAATGAGACAGAAAATTAACAAGAATATTCAGGACTTGAACGCAGCTCTGGACCAAGCAGACCTAACAGACATCTGCAGAACTCTCCACCCCAAATCAACAGAATATACATTCTTCTTAGCACCACATAGCACTTATTATAAAATTGACCAGATAATTGAAAGTAAAACACTCCTCAGCAAAGGGAAATCATAAACAGTCTCTCAGACCACAGTGCAATCAAATTAGAACTCAAGATTAAGAAACTCACTCAAAACTGCACAACTACAGGCAAACTGAACAACCTGCTCTTAAATGACTACTGGGTAAATAATGAAATTAAGGAAGAAATAAATAAATTATTTGAAACCAATGAGAACAAAGACACAACATACCAGGATCTCTGGGACACAGCTAAAGTAGTGTTTAGAGGGATATGTATAGCACTAAATCCCCACAGCAGAAAGTGGGAAAGATCTAATATTGACAACCTAACGTCACAATGAAAAGAACTAGAAAAGCAAGAGCAAACAAATTCAAAAGCTAGCAGAAGACAAGAAATAACTAAGATCAGAGCAGAGCTGCAGGAGATAAAGACATGACAAACCCTCCAAAACTCAATGAATCTAGGAGTTGGTGTTTTGAAAAGATTAACAAAATAGACTGTTAGCCAGACTAATAAAGAAGAAAAGAAAGAAGAATCAAATGTACATAATAAAAAATGATAAAGGGGGTATCACCACTTTTCCCACAGAAATACAAACTACCATCAGAGAATATTATAAACACCTGTATGCAAATAAACTAGAAAATCTAGAAGAAATGGATAAAGTCCTGGATATATACACCCTCCCAAGGGTAAACCAGGAAGAAGTCGAATCCCTAAATAGACCAATAATAAATTCTGAAATTGAAGCAGTAATTAAGAGCTGATATTGGTACCAAAACAGATATATAGACCAATTGAGCAGAACAGAGTCTGCAGAAATAACACCACACATCTAAAACCATCTGATCTTGACAAACCTGACAAAAACAAGCAAAGGAGAAAGGATTCCCTGTTTAATAAATGGTGCTGGGAAAACTGGCTAGCAATATGCAGAAACCTGAAACTGAACACCTTCCTTACATCTCATACAAAAATTAACTCAAAATGGATTAAAGGCTTAAACCTAAAGCCATAAACCCTAGAAGAAAACCTAGGCAATACCATTCAGGACACAGGCATGGGCAAAGACTTCATGACTGAAACACCAAAAGCAATGGCAACAAAAGCCAAAATTGACAAATGGAATCTAGTGAAATCAAAGAGCTTCTGCACAGCAAAGGAAACTATCATCAGAGTGAACAGGCAACCTACAGAATGGGAGAAAATTTTTGCAATCTATCCATCTGACAAAGGTCTAATATCCAGAATCTACAAGGAACTTAAACAAATTTACAAGAAAAAACAAACAACCCCATCATAAAGTGGGCAAAGGATACAAACAGACACATCGCAAAAGAAGACATTTATGTGGGCAACAAACATGATAAAAGCTCATCATCACTGGTCATTAGAGAAATGCAAAGCAGAGCCACAGTGAGATACCATCTCATGCCAGTTAGAATGGCTATCATTAAAAAGTCAGGAAACAACAGATGCTGAGAGGATGTGGAGAAATAGGAATGCTTTTATACTGTTGGTGGGAGTGCGAATTAGTTCACCCATTCTGGAAGACTATGTGACGATTCCTCAAGGATCTTGAATCAGAAATACCATTTGACCCAGCCATCTCATTACTGGGTATATACCCAAAGGATTATAAATCATTCTACTATAAACACACATGTACACCTATGTTTACTGCAGTGCAATTCACAATAGCAAAGACTTGGAACCAACCCAAATGCCCATCAATAATAGACTGGATAAAGAAAATGTGGCACATATACACCATGGAATACTATGCAGACATGAAGAAGAATGAGTTCATGTCCTTTGCAGGGACATGGATGAAGCTGTGAACCATCATTCTCAGCACACTAGCACAGGAACAGAAAACCAAACACTGCATGTTCTCATTCATAAGTGGGAGTTCAACAATCAGAACACATGGACACAGGGAGGGGAACATCACACAGCAGGACCTGTCAGGGGATGTGGGCCAAGGGGAGGGAGAGCATTAGGACAAATACCTAATGCATGCGGGGCTTAAAACCTAGATGACGGGTTGATGGGTGCAGCAAACCACCATGGCACATATATACCTATTTAACCAACCTGCACATTCTGCACATGTATCCCAGAACTTAAAGTTTAATAAAAAATAGTTTTTTTTGTTTAAAATTCTGACTTCAAATTGGTACACCCTGACTTCTTAAAGTGACCATGTATCAATTAAAATGCATCCATCTTCTAAACAGAAACTGCTTCAAAGATCTTTTATTATTCTTCAGAAAGGAATGCATGAATCAATGATTACAAAGCATTCCTCAGCTTTGCCAGTTCCTTTTATCTTGTGAGGAGATTAATAGCCATCCTTGAGACACCAGCTGCTTTCTATTTATCAAAGAGAAGCCAGTGGCTGGTAGCTCTCCTGGAGGACTAAGGGAAGATGTACACAGATCTAACTGCTTGGTTGATAATCTGAAGGAGGCAAAGCCACGCCTTCCACAGTCTGATGAGTCTCTAAAGATTGTGATTATTTTTTTCTCACTTTGGTTAATACATTTATCAAATATTTAATCATCAGCTGATCATAATTTTGTGTGTTTATGTTCCAAAATGGCTTCAATCCTGCAGCCAGTTCTCCCTCACATCACTTTCATGAGAAACTATATCTAAGTACTCTAGTAGCCATTTTGTTTTTAGCAGTGTTTTTTATCTTTCCTAATATTTAAAAAAAAAATTAATTCCTTATCTTCAAGACTGTGCAATCTCAAAAAAGTGATGAACATTAGAGAAATAATTGATCTATATTTTATAGCCAACTTCCTGCTTGAAATTTATTTATAATGTTTGTGTTGTAGTCACTCTAAAACTTATTTGTCAAAAACAAACTCATTGTCTTCCACTCCAAAAGTTTGCTTCTCCTTCTGCCTTCTGGTCTCCGATGATGAAATAACTTTACAGTCAATTGTTGGAAGTAAGAATCCTAGCCATCTTGACTTGTATCTTTGCTTGAATTTTTCTGAAGTGTTACATTAAAAATTGAATACCAACATTATCTAATACCATTTCTGAAATGCCTTATGGATTCAGCCACTACAGCACTTACCACACCTCCTTTCTAGAACCTCAGTATCTTTTCTTCAGGGCTTCCCAACCTGAGTTATTGATTCCTTCAGCTCTTGGAATTTGAAAGTATGGTAGGGGCACATTAGGGGTCTCAACACAATCTCATATGTTTGTGTTGGCAGTAAGTAACATCAGGCTTTTTTGGTCTACCACACAGAGCATCTCCAAATAGGTGTTGTAGTGACATCAGCTACACAGTACATCATTGATTATTACAAACAGGAAAGACACATGTTTTCAAGTGCTTGAGAGGCAGAATTTAAAGTCAAATACATGCCCAGCTGGATGGTAGGATGGCTCCGTGAGGACAGGCAAGAATCCTTTCAGAAACGGTTACAGGCAATGACCTCCAGAGTTCAAAGTGTCCCTTTCTGGCACTCCTGTGTGCACAAATGCTATTTACGTGCTTCATAGGGCTTCTTGGACACGAAATCAATGCACTTTAAATCATTCTTCTATCCCTGGGTAGATATGAACATTAGTGAGTAATGTGTATATAATTTAAAAATTCACAGGGAAGACTGAGAAAATGTGTTTATTAAGTGATATCCATAATCAAATAATTTATAAATGCCATTTCATATGTTTCTCTTGACACCATTTCTTTAGTGTCTCTCATTTTAAGGATGTCTTCATCTCATTTCTCACATGTTATACCCTGCCTCTTTTCTGCCTCTTCAGTGTTTTCTAGAGAATTCAAATACTTCCTGTCCTTCTCTTTCTTCTATTCAAATTAACCCCTACCATACCCAATCCTTGAAATATGACAATACACTGAATCTTCTAACCTAAGTACCTATTAGGTTATTCTGCCACAAAAGGTCTCATTAGGAATAATTCGATTTATAATATTTTAAACTCGTTTTCATATTTCTTCCCCACTTCAGGAGCCACTCAAACTTGTTCTTCTTCCTCCATTCAACCTTTCCTAATTATTTCCAAGAAAAGGCCATTTCCCTTTTTGTTGTGGATAAACTCACCTTTCACCATATTAAGGACTTCAGTTCATTAATTAAACCTACTTTGTCTATTACCATTCTGATTAGTATATAATCATGTTATGGGATATTTTATCTTAACAGAAACAATTTTTTTCATATACCTCTAGCTCCAGCTATTACAGTTTTCTCTCTGCTTTTCTTAATGCAAAAGTCCAGTAACTCCCTCTTATTTTGGGGGATATATTCTAAGACCCTCAGTGGATGCCTGAAACCACAGATAGCATGGAACCCTATACATATCATTTTTTTCATAAATATACATATCTCTCATTAAGTTTAATCAGCAGACGCAACCTACCCAGTAATTTTTACATTTTTTCATTTAAACCCATTCCTGAATCTGTGCACTGTCTCTAATTTGAAGTAAATGGCTTTGTGTTTCTTGTTTCAGGGACTTCCTGCTGAAGTTGTCATATAGCCTCAATGCATTCTGACATAACACATCATTGTCAATTGAAACACATTTCTGTTTATGTCTTCCATCCACAAATTTAATGCCTTTTCCATCTTAACTAAGCACTTATGCACTGTTGCCATAACTTTTGCAGTTTGAGGTGTGACAGCAATGCCAGCACAAATTTCTTTTACCTTCTTCACAGTTTCACAGATAGACGTGCATTTCTTACTATAGATCTTAGCAACCTCAGCATATGACTTCTTTTTTTTTCCATTAAGTCAAAAATTTTTACATTTTCACTTAAAGAAAGCATTTTACAGCTTCTCTTTGGAATATCTAAATTGCCAGTATCACTACTCTTGCACTTTGGGGCCATTACTACCTCAAATAGGGCTAGTGGCGCATACACACTGTGATATTTGACACTTGATCTGATAAGGGAGATGGCTATTGAGTGATTAACAGGCAGGTAGCTTGGAGAGTGTGGACACACTGGACAAAGGGATGATTCACATCTCAGGTGGGGCAATAGTTATATTCCGATTTTTTATCTTGTTTTAAAAATATAAACATAACATATGTTTCTGACTTACTAAGTTTATTGTAAATTACTGTCATTTACAATAGCTTCGGAAAGAATAAAATACAGATCAACTTAGCAAAAAAAAGCAAGATATATACACTGAAAACTACACAACATTTCTGAAAGAATTTAAAAAGCATCTAAATAAATGGACCAACATCATATGTTCATAAATTAGAAGTTATTAATGTAAAAATAGCAATCATTTTAGAATCGATCTTCAAGTTAGACACTATCCCACTCATAATCCTAAAAGGCTTCTTTGGAGAAATTGACAAGCTGATTATTAAATCTCAAGGGACCATGAATAGTCAAGACCATTTTGAAAATGTACAAAAATAGATGACTCACACTTCTGATTTCAGAACTAACTGCAAAACTATAGTAATCAAGTCTGTGTGGCAGTGGCATTAGGACAGACACATAGATCCATGGAATAAAATTGGAAGTCTAGAAATAAACTTTCACATTTATGTTCAAATGATTTTTGAAAAGGGTTTAAAGACAATGTAATGGAGAAAAGAGTAGTCTTTTCAACAAATAGTGCTGGAAAATTACTACTTTTGTACTTCCAAGTAAAAAACCTCAGAACACTTTAACACTTATTAGTATATTTCTTTTATTTTATTTTTTCATGCATTTTATTTTATAAATTTTGAATATATAAAAATTATTATCATTAATTTATAGATTTAAAATTTATTTAGTGTTTTTCTGTACATATTTTTCCATTTTTTCTTTCTAAATATCCAAACTTTCATCTGTTCATTTTATTTTATCTTCTATTTAGCCATAGAAATATCTGACTTTTTGTTGCAATTAGGTCTGATGATCGGTTATTTGTTTTTCTCTCCCTGGAAATGTCTTTATTTTGCTTTCATTTTTAAAGTTATAGGTTGAGATATAATTCACATGACATGTGATGCACCAGTTAAAATATAAAATTCAAACTGTGTTAGTATATTCACAGAGGTGTACAACTATTATCACAATAAATATTAGTTTATTTTCATCACCCCAAAAAGAAATCTCATACTCATGAGCAATCCCTCTGCATTTCCTCCAAGGTGGCTGACACTAGAAAAATTCTACTGTACTTCCAGGCTTTATAAATTTGCCTATTCTGGACATTTCTTATAAATGGAATAAAAAAAAAACATGTGGTCTTCTGTGACTAGCTGTTTTTTACTTGGTATATTAAATTTTTACTTAGTATAATAACAGTTCAGGGTGCCAAACTAATGTTTGGGCTATTGTGGGGGGCTCCACTTTTTTTCTTTTTTTTTTTTTTTTTTGAGACGGAGTCTCGCTCTGTCGCCCAGGCTGGAGTTCTCGGCTCACTGCAAGCTCTGCCTCCTGGGTTCTGGCCATTCTCCTGCCTCAGCCTCCCGAGTAGCTGGGACTACAAGCACTTGCCACCACGCCCGGCTAATTTTTTGTATTTTACAGTACAGACAGGGTTTCACCATGTTAGCCAGGATGGTCTCGATCTCCCGACCTCGTAATCCGCCTGCCTCGACCTCCCAAATTGCTGGGATTACAGGTGTGAGCCACCGAGCCCGCCCAGGGCTCTACTTTTTTACTGAATGCCGAATGCCAAATTTTCAGCCTCTTCTACGACCAGCAACACAATACTGGAGTATATGAAGCTGATTTTGTTATTTTACCTTCTACCTCTTCCTAATAATTAAATTTAAGAAGAGTACCAAGTAGTTCCACTACCAAAAATGACACATGATATATTTTGGAGTAACGCTTCTACTGAGAATAACTTTAAATTCTTTTAAAAAGAAAAAAAAATCAAACTTAATATGTAAGAGTTTTAACAAGGCAATAGGACTTGTGGAGCTAATGTATTAAAATGGTGAAACTTCAGAGAAAAAAGCTCATCATTGAAAGACATGTTCCCTAGAGGGGTCTGCCAATTTTGACTGAAAGAATAAGAAGGTAAACATATCTTTAGACAAACTCACTGAGCTGAGGGTTGGAGGGGTGTAAAATATTCACATTCAGTATTCACCAAGAAATAGACCCCTGAAAAACAGCCTAATATTATTTTGGAGATATGTAAAAGAGCTTGGCTCTATTCTGCCTAAAAATATTTTTTCTTATGTAAATTATCTCTGAAAACCTTTTTCCTATATTTAGTCAATGCATGCTTAGTATATGCAATCTATCAATTTTACTTCATTTAAAGTATTTCCTTGTCTATGATAATGTCACAGAGTACTTCAAAAATCACACTTATTTTCAATAAGCATCTATAAGTTTCTATATTACTTTATCTTTAAATAAAATAAAACAACACAAATATAATTAATCAAACATTCATTCCTCTTTTCAGATGGAATCAACTTATAAGTGGAGGCATGTTTTAAAGTGGATACAGTGTAATTCTACAGTTTCTGAATGAAATAAGTATAGTTTTTCTATGCCAGAAATTGTAATAGCAGCCAAAACTAAGCACTATCTATGCCATTTTCTAATTAGTGTCCTAGTTAAAGCATTGTAATGGAATAACCACTTTGAAATACGGCCTAAATTTAATCAATGTCTCTCAGCTCCTGCTTAGTGATGAGGTATTCTTTTTGTTTCCTTTTAGCCAGGAAAAGAAGCAAACTAATACTGATAGTCCACAGTACCAATCACTGGGTTTCTATCATATGTATTATCTCATTTAATATTCATGGTAGTCCTGCTAGGCAGTTATCATTTTTCTGGAAGGAATTTCTAGCATAAAGAGGTCACTAACATTTGTAGTGATAGTGCTGGGAAAGTCACTTTAAATTTATCAGAAGAAATTAGAAGTATGGTAGACAGGAAAGGCCTGGAAAGTACCTTTTATGACTGAGAGAGCCAAATGGTTAACCTAGGTAGAAAGGTTTGTGCAGGCTTAACATTTCAATATATTTCATAGGTGCTAAATTTAGTAAATCATAGAGCAGACCATAAGAAAATCAAAAGATACTACGAGACTACTGGAACTATGTTGCACAATTAGGGGCTCACCCATCATTTATACGCATATTTGTAAAAATGAAATCTAGGGGCCGTTGTTAAAAGTTAGTAGAACACATAGACAAAAATTCAAAAGCTATTTAGCCACGGAATTCAATCTTCATGTAAACTATAATTTGGAAGAAGATTTTAAGTTTAAATTAAGTGTTTCAGTTATTGTTTTACATAAACCAGTATGTTTATTGCGGCGCTATTCACAATAGCAAAGACTTGGAACCAACCCAAATGTCCAACAATGATAGACTGGATTAAGAAAATGTGTCACATATACACCACGGAATACTATGCAGCCATAAAAAATGATGAGTTCGTGTCCTTTGTAGGGACATGGATGAAGCTGGAAACCATCATTCTCAGCAAACTATCGCAAAGACAAAAAACCAAACACCACATGTTCTCACTCATAGGTGAGAATTGAACAATGAGAACACACGGACACAGGCAGGGGAACATCATACACCGGGGCCTGTTGTGGGATGGGGGGAGTGGGGAGGGAAAGCTTTAGGAGATATACCTAATGTTAAATGATGAGTTACTGGGTTCAGCACACCAACATGGCACAGTATACATATGTAGCTAACCTGCACGTTGTGCACATGTACCCTAAAACTTAAAGTATAAAAAAAAAATTACAGGATGTTGTTGACAAAAATTTAATGAGAAAATATAAGAGGATAGTAGAGAAACGTCTTCACCTCTCATTCTTGACAGTAAATTTGTTACAATTCCATAATCCTGCAATTACATTGGAGAAACTAAAAGTTGGAATTAGATTAATCTGTACTGAGGTAAAAGTTAATTATAGTATTTTATAAATTCTCATATGTGGAGGGCTTATCAATAAATATGTATTTCATATGTTATTATTATAATTCCTGGAATATGTAAATACACCATTCATGGAAAAGAATATAAGATAAGGTCAAAATTTTCATAGATTCAGAGTAAATCAGTTTATCATATATTTTTGATTATTAGTATTTAAAATTAAATTCCATCCTATTTATATACTATAACAATATATTCAATGTCATTTAAAACTATATGTGGAATTATATAGTAGGAGTCCAGCTTCCTTGACTGAGAATATAGATATTCCCAAAAGATATATTATTCCAATATATGCAATGAATTTATATTAAATAATTTGAATAGATTTTATGAAAGACTTTGGGTGAGAATTACTCAAACATTATCATATTAAAAAATTATTGTTTCTGTGGTGTCTGATGTAAGAAAACTCTTTCCCAGACAATTTCCAGACCCAATCAGCCAGTGGAAAATTGTCACTGGATGTACAATCACCAGCCTTAGACCTTAGTTTGATCGACTGGAGAGTATTAACTGAAGTAGGCATCTGTTATGAATGGTGGGTAAGGCAGGACTGGGAAAAAACTGAGAATGACAATCACCTTGTGGGTTTAACAGCATTATATTCATTTTAGAGTTTATAAAGAGATTAGACACCAAGGTCTCAAATATTTAAATGACTTATTCAAAGTTAAACAACAGCGAGATAATCCATTTTAGCTTTGAAACAAAATCATTTTATTCCAAATTTAATATAGCTGCCTCTTGACGTTGTATTTATGAACATTGAAACAAAATGTTAGCTCATTCTAGTTTGTACTGTAAAATGTTGAATGTGAGAAATGCAAATACCTTTGTAAAAATGCAACTAATATCTTAATTTTGAGTCTTCCTATCTTCTTAAGATAGAAAATTTTTCTTAAAATGTATATGTTCAGAGTTCAGAGATATGTTCTAATTTTCTTCATTTTGTAGTCAGGGCATAATTTGTTAGCACTACTTTCACATTTTAGTGTACTTTTTTTCAGAGTGATCAAAAACTTTCTTTCCAAAGCACCAACAATGAACAAATTTTTTCTAGAAGAAAGCTAGTTTAGAAATGCAGAGGAAAATGGATTAATGATTCAAAAAGAAGTCTTTGAAAACAAATTTTTTACCTACCTACTCAAGCTCCCCTTGCTGAGAATAAATTTTTTGAATAAATAGCATGTCATGTCTGGATCTAACTGGAATTAAGGAATATTTTCTAAGAGTTTCTTTACTTCTTGACTCTTCTTTATCCTAAGAAAATATCTTTTATATATAGAGATGAATCCAACTGATTCCCTGTCATTTGATTTAATTTTAGCCCTTCAGTCACAAGCAATGCCCAGTGAACTGCAGATTCTCATCAGTTCAGAACAAGGCCACACATGGAGACAAAGCATGATGAATAGTCTGTTACTATAACCCAGAGGAGCTGACCTTGGCATTGGTGAGACCCAAATTAGTATCAAAGCTCATATTTCATTGAATATCCTCTCTCATAGCCACAGCTTTGACCAGATGTATGGAAGCTAAGAAAACAACCTCTTACCTTTAGCAAATTTGAACTCAGTCATAAAACTTTTACAAATAATTGAATTATATAAAAGAGCTTATTCTCAACTTATTTTTCTTTCTTTTTTCCCTTCTTTTAGGACTCAGATCCTAAACAATTTCATTGTAATATTAACAATTACATGATTCATGGTACATGATTTTAGGTTTCTTGGTTGTTACATAACAGAAATTTAGAAGTTTTTGCAAATAGACTCCATTATATTTCAAGTGCTTTTTACTTAATGATTTTTTTAAACAAATTCAGACAAACAATACTTAACTGGCTTCTAGAAAATTGTTCTATTTGATATATCAGTACCTTTCATTTACCTTTTAAATAAGTCCTCGAGAAATAAACTCAGGACAATTTTAGTTTGCGTGTGTGTGTGTGTGTGTGTGTGCACGTGTGCACGTATGTGTATTCCTTCCTAAAACCATCTTTGTGGACAGTCCAATTCTAAAATGTAATTGGAATTCTGGAATATTGTGGCATGACATTCTGTGGAAATTTGACTACTGAATCCATTTATACAACCCCTTTAGATAATGTATGCATATTTTCCTTTTTCAAATAGAAGTAAATGTGATGTGAGTACTGTTTCAAATACTAGTACCAGAAGTTTTTTAAAAAGGTCAATTTTGCTGATACAATTTTGGAGTCTATTATGAATAAATTGCCCTTTCTCATATATCTTCATTATATGTTATGCTTCCTAATTTCCACCATTTCCCCCCAAATTTGAATAAAGTAGAGATATTCAAAATCTTGGCTAATAAAAGGAAACATACTCCATTTACTAACTAGAAAAGTAAGTTCCTTTACTAAATTTAAGTTAGATGATATACCAATATATTATGAAAATTGGTTCTGTTAATTTTTCCTTTCAAATTATTTTCTCTATTACAAGTTCTACACCTTTAAGAAAGATTTTTAATGATGAAAAAAATTACAAAGCAGCTTAATAAAGCTTCTGTCTTGGCTTGTCTTGTGCTGCTATAACAGAATACCACAGACTGAGTGATTTATAAAGAACATAACTTTATTTAGAGGCTGGCATCTCACAAGGGCTGTCCTGCTGCCTCATCCCACGGCAGAAGGGGGAGAGGCAAAAAAGAATGAGACAAAGAGCAAGAGGTGGCCAAACCCATATTTTAAAATAAGAAAACCATTCCCATAATAATGGCATTATTCTATTCATGCAGGTGGTGCCCCCATGACCCAAACGTCTCCCATCAGTTTTCATCCCCTAATGCCATCACATTATCAAGTTTCCAGTACATAAATTTGTTACTGAAACACCTGGCATTTTGTCTAGGTTCTGCTGCTCACTGCACAAAAAGCAAATCACAGAGACAAGTATTGCCAAGGAAGAAGGCTTTAATCAGGTGCTACAGCTGAGGTGATGGGAGATCAGTCTCAAATCCATCTCCCTGACCAGCTAAAACTAGGGGTTTATATAGCAGGGAAGAAATGTAGCAATGTTTTGTAAAAGAAGAACTAGGGAAGGGCAAAGAGGCAATCATGATGAATGAGGGGTCCTGCATCTCATTGTCTGAATGCAGTGATCTGGTGAGTTTCAGTTCTTTGAGTCTTTTTTTGAGAGGCCCTAAGGTGGTTTCCTGAGGAAGGAACTCAGATAAAACAAATGTAAGGTTCAAGCTTTAAGACAAGAAGGGTCAATTTCAATGTTTATTTGAAAAACTATCTATGTGACTATTGGGTCAGTTTCAGAACTTTGGGGGACACATTCAAACCATAACAACTTCCAGTGAGGAATTACACTTGCTCAAAACTATCACTCTGAGGTAGGGTTCAATTTATCCAAAGCCATTCCCCAGAGACTGGATTCTGAAAGAGATAGCCTCTTACAGAACATCAGGGAAACCCACTATGGAATAGTTTTTAAAGTAACTAACCCTATAGAGTTCTGACATGGAATATCAAGACTGGGAACAACTACAATGCTTGCATCCCCGCTGATTACATCAAGTCTGGAACCTACACTCTCATAAACATTGAACAATAAGTTGATAGAATAGGGCTCAAGATCAGTATTATGCTCAACCCTTCTGATTATGGATTCCAGTCACTGCCACATCAAAGGAGGGAATGGCTCTTCCCGAATCACACACGACAGAAGGGAAGTCTCTCATGGTGTCTAATGTCTAGCCCTGTGTTCTGTCCCATAATGCACTGGGTAGTGGGAGACCTGCACATGGGAGATGTGTATATTTGATACAGGCAATTGCCCTTGTTGACATAAAAATTTCATTCAATGCAATTTCTTAATTCTAAAATTTCATGGAGAATATGTTTTTTTTTTAAGTTTGATTTTGAAGTTTGTATTCTCCATAGTTCTAGAGCAAGGGTTTTCTAGCAGTGTAAAGAAAAATATTTTCGTATGATATCAAAATATTTTGTAATCACTATAATCTCCATTGTCAACCAGGCATTCTGTGATAGATAATAAAAGAATGTTGTTTTAGGTAACTAAATAGTCTGAGAATGTGTTACCTAATCCATGAGTAAATATATTAAAATGACATCTGAAAAAAATCTATTGTTTAATAACTTGTGAGGAAAACAAGAGTTGAAAAAAATGTTGATGACTTAGAATCCATCAACATAAATCATTGGCACAAATGAAAAAGATTAAACTTTCAAACAATTAAGAATTGTGCTTCAAGGCTATACCATTTTATCATGATTGCTTAACCTCATGCTTCTGTAACTAATAAGTTTGGATTTGACAGTCCTCTTTCTACATAGACCACTGCTCTTAACAACAACAGCAAAAATTCTGTGAGCTTCAAAATTTGAGTTATTTTGAATTGAAACAGACCCTTCATTAATTTGTCCATTTATAAATATTTGCACACATTTATACTATGGAAAGCACTATGCTACACTTTTTTTTTTTGAGACAGTCTTGCTCTTGTAGCCCAGGCTGGAGTGCAGTGCCTCCTGGGTTCAAGCAATTCTCCTGACTCAGCCTCCTGAGTAGCTGGGATTACAGGCACCCGCTATCATCCCTGGCTAATTTTTGTACTTTTAGTAGAGACAGGGTTTCGCCATGTTGGCAAGGCTGGTCTCGAACTCCTGACCTCAGGTGATCTGCCCACCTCGGCCTCCCAAAGTGTTGGGATTACAGGCGTGAGCCACCACACCCAGCCCATTCTACACTATTAAAGGCACACGAAGAATCTAACATGCATACTTACTTAAAGAAGACCAGGGAAATGGTTTACAGACAGTGATCACAGCTTTATTTGGTATGTAATCAATTTAGAGTTTCTGTAAGGAATTTTAAAATATTAATTAGAGTAAAATAGGATATGTTAGGATACCAGATTATGAGAAGAGACAGATGGATAAAAAAGAGATTTGGATAGGATAAGGTAGTGAGAAGAGACGAGAAGAGAAAACAAGAGGAAAGGATAGGAGAAGAGAGGAGAGGGGAGAAGACCCATGGGATATGTGTATTTTGCAATAGCCAGTTGTTTTGCTGACACATTAACAAAACTTATTCTCATTCCATGCAGTTTCTTAATTCCAAAATGTCACAATTTTTATCGTGGTCTGTAATAACAGGTATACTGTTCTAAGACTAGAAAACAGTAGACTAGAGTAGCCTGAATGGTAAAGGTGAGAATAAGAATGCATACTCTGGATCACCCTATAAAATGTATTCCTTAGTGAAAGTGTTAGTCAAAAAGTTTGAAAGCTAGTTGTGGTGCAAACTAAATGAATGCAAATAATTATGACATAAAGAAGAAAATATTAAATGTTTAAAGAGTCAAAATATGAGGATTCAGAGATGGGAAAAGATTACTTCACTTGGAGAAATATGATGATCATTCAAGTACCCTTGGTAGCACTTCTCTGAAATAGGAAAGACAATTTCTTCAGAGAATTAAGGGGAGGAGGCAGTGAGATAGTTTCAATGGAATAGGAAATGATCACCCTATAAATTTTCCTTTTAAAAGACATTATTTCCTATAAACATCAATAATAGCAAATACATACATAGAATTAAGATCAAAGATTTGATAAAATGTATTTCTTTACATTTTAAGTCTGCTTTGTAATAATAATGCCATAAATAAAAATAATTATCACTTTTCACTCCCTAGTATGTCTACAATATCATCCTAGATACTTTATGTAATTCATTCCGTACAAAACCATTATGAGGTAGGTATTTCGTATAACTCCCACTTCAGGTGATGAAAATTAACTCTGAAAGCTTGGGAAACTTACCTCTTGGTCACTCATGTAGCATGTGGATGAGTGGGTACAGATTTTATATGCAACTATATTTCTCCCAAGCTGCTGTTCTGAACCACCACATTCTTCTACTCTTGGCAAGTATAGGGATAATTGACTAGAGAAAAAAATGTTTCTAAGTACATACAGATGCATTAATACAGTGATGCTTCAGTTATAAAGAAACTAGAATATGTGAGAGCTGCCTACTCTAAAGAATCTCACAGTAACTAATCTACTCGTATCTTTTTATAGGTTTTCCAAGTTGGTTCAAACTAATGTGAACTTTCTGGATCTGGTCCAGTAATCCACAATGCACACACAATATGAGGAATAGTAGCTTAACCTCACTTTTCTCTAGATGGATTTCTGGGTATGAGTTTCAAGTCTTTTGGCATCAAATACTAAAACCTCCAGTAATCCCAATACACATGTGCAACAAGACAATTTTAGCTACAGCCTCATGCATAAAATACAGCTCAATTTTTATTAAAAAAGTTTGGAAGAAACATATTGGGATATCTATTTACATTTTAATGGGATATGGGTCTAGGGCTACAATTTCCATCATATGGAACTAGTTTCCTAGTAAAGTAGTTTGAATCCTGCTGACATTTTGCCTTAGTGCCTCTCAATCATTTAAATATAACATTTAAGTTTATGTAATCTTCCAACATTTTTAATTTTGTTCCGAAACTCAAAAATTAGCCCCTAGAGTATAAGTGCAACATGTAAATATGCATCTTACAAAATGCCAGAAATAAAGGATCGATGCCAATAGAATGAGAGAAGCATATTAATAATTTTCACAACTACTTACAGAGCAGTTTGTAAAGAGCAGCCTGATAGAAGCTCAGCCATTTCTCTGGCACTATGATCCTTAAATCTGGGGGAGATTTAAAGTAATGAGGTCGCCAGTATTTTTTAATATGCTCCACTCCAGTTAGAGCCTTGGGTTTTTTCTTCAATGTGACATAAACCTATAAAATTCTCTTTCATTCAATCCTGCTCCTTTTTACCTAGGTGACACCTATGAATTAAAAAAATAATTTGTGCAATATGCATCTGTATAACTTTTCTAAAACAGTTGAAGCCTCACTGTGCATGTCCTCCTTCCTCAGCATTTTCTCTTCACACCTTTCAGAGAAATTCACAATCTTGAATCTGTTTTTATCATTACCAACATATCTTTATAATTGTCCCACCTATCCGTTGTTTTGAATGTTTTGATAATATTTTAATGGTATTATTTTATACATATAAATTCATATCTATAAAAATTAACTCTGTTCTTTTCAGCAACAACTTTTGAGCAATTTTCAGCAATGAATTTCAGCATTTACATTGAATTGACTTATTTTAATTTTTGTATAGTATATTATTGCAAAAACATTCCTATATTAAGTTGTTCTCTTCTTAAGTAAACATTTAAACTTTTTCTAGTTTTATAATAATGTAAATGTCATTCTTGTGCATGTTTCCTTGTTCACGTATGTGGAAAGTTAGTGAATAAACAAAGTGAAATGGCTGAATTAAGGATTATTTGAATATATGAGTTGATTAGATATTGCTATGCCTGTATTTCTCCCCAGTGTATTTAAGTCAATTTACTTAGCTTCAGTCAATGGATGAGCATATTGGATTTTTTATTTTTCATTTCAGGTGATGTTTGCAAAAAGTTTGTTTCTCTTTTACTTATGTGATGTTTTATGTTTTGTAGCACTTTTGATCTGTTCTGAATATGAATCTATGTTCAGTTACAGGCATTGCAATATTTTCTTCCAAATTTGTCTCTAAAACTAAATTATAAAGTCTTATGATAGAATTCTTTTTTCTTGATATTGTTTGAATGTATTCAAATCAGGAATCTTTTTAAAAGTTTTATTGTGAAATAATTTTAGATTTTCACAAGAATTGTAAAGACATTGTAGAGTTCCTATAGATCTTCACTCAGCTTTCTATACTGTAAATATCTTAATTAACCAGGGCACATTTTTCAAAACTAAGAAATTAATATTGGTCAAATGCCATTAACTAACCTACAGACTTGATTCCACCGAATTTTTTACGAATTCTATTTTTCTTTGCCAGGATACCATGTTGCATTAAGTCATCTTGTCATAGTCTTCTTCAGTCTGTGACATTTTCTCATCCTATTCATGTTATTTATAACCTTAACACTTTTGAAGGGTAATTATTAAGATTTAGTAGAATAGTTTTCAATTTGGGTTTATCTGAAGTTTTCTCATGGTGAGACTGAGTATATGGATTTTGAGAAAACTGTCCTACTCATTGCATCAAACCAGGGGTATATGATATTTATGATTTAGAAACTTTGATCATTCAGTGAAAGTAGAGGTTGTTAGGCATCTCTACTTTAAAGTCAATATTTTACCTCTCCATACTCCATACCTTAGAAATTCTATTCTTTTTAAATTTTTACTTTACTTGTGTTTCTTTAGAAAAAGTTGCCTATACTGATATGATAAAATATTATTCTAGTTTTGCTCTCTCTGTTTATTAAACTACATGAAATTGGTGTTTGCTATTGATGAGAGTTATAGACCCAGAACATTCTCAAAAGAGATAATCAATTTTTCCATCAGTATTAATTTCTCTTTTTCTTCCATTCTGATCTGCAAGTGTATTTCTGCCATGTATGAAGTTTCCATAGAAATGTGGATATTTCTTTCTTGGATTTCAGTTCTGTTTAATTGGGAAATGTCTATATCCCTCCAGGATTTTGACAGGATGGTAACTAATATGATTTTATAGTAAGTTTTCTCATGTTGTGGAACAAGTTCCTCCATCATGTGCAATTTAAACATTGCCTTTGTTATATTCAGTCCTTTGCCCATGCAGATCAGTATTAGAAAGATCTGATAAACTGATTTCATTGGCAGATTAAGTTAAGGAGAATAAAGGCTTTTCTAATTTTTTAAATCTTATTTATAAGCATAGCAAATTCCTTCTATTGACGTCATTTTCTTAGTTATTTTATTTCTATCTATATTTTAATTAAAATCAATAATATTACAGGCTTTATGATTTTTTAGATTTATTAATAGACACTTTATATTTTACTGTTATAACAACAAAATGTGTCACATTTTAAAACCGTATTTTTAAAATATTTGCTGCTAGTGCAGAGGAATGCATTTGATATATTATGTTTATTGTACATTTGGCAAACATGTTAAATGGTCTTAATAATTTAAATAAATTGTTTACATACTGTCTTGAGTTTTTTACTTTGACAGTTATATCATCTAAGAAAAATAATAATTTCTTTAACTCTGTAATTTACCTTCTGCTTATTTCATTTTTATTATTATAACGACTAGGTATCCAGGGAATTTTTACATAGAAACTGAAATGGTGTGCATTTTTGATTTGTTCTAGATTTTAAGTGGAAAGCTTTTAACATTTAATAACTATATTTAATATATTATGTAGATTTTGAAAATTTTTATTAGAATAAAAATATTTCTGTTTTATATAATATGGTTAAGATTTTAAAATTCATTAGGTGTTCAATTTGATCAAACACTTTAATAAAATAACTATTTATTCCTCATTGTTCTCCCATTTTGATGAAAAACTCTGATACTTTTTTTTTTTTTTTTTTTTAAGACAGAGTCTCACTCTGTAACCCAGGCTGGAGTGCAGTGGCACGATCTGGGCTTACTGCAACCTCCGCCTCCTGGGTTCAAGCAATTCCTTGCCTCAGCCTTCCAAGTAGCTGGGATTACAGGCGCCCGCCACCATGCCCGGCTAATTTTTTCTATTTTTAGTAGGGACAGGGTTTCACCATCTTGGCCAGGCTGTTCTTGAACTCCTGACCTAGTGATCCACCCACCTCAGCCTCCTAAAGTGCTGGGATTACAGCCATGAGCCACTGCGCCTGGCCAAATTTTCTTATTTAAACACAGCATAATCATTATGCATTACTTTTATATCCCTTATTAGACAAGTTTTTAATATTTATTTAGAATTTTGCTTATATTTTATAAATGAAATTGATCTATAATTTTCCTTTTATACTGTCATTACCTAATTTTGATATTAAAGCTGTAATCACCTCATAAAGGAGAGTTTTTCTTTTCTGATGGGTTGTGTTCTGGTACATCCTGTACAAGTCTGAAAAAAAGGACCATCTTAAATTAGATCCCTGAATAAAAAAATATTATTGGCCTGGTATATTTTTGGCTAGATAACTGCACTATGAATTAGTTTGAAAAGAGTTATATAGCCATTCAGGTTTAATTTTTATTCCAAATAGGGTTGGTAATTTTCATTTTTTTTTCTGGAAACTTGTTTCCTTTTTATTCTTTGGCTGAATTCTAAATGCATGCTTATAGCAGAGGAGAGGCAATTGCTTCTTGGCCTTTTGGCTGAAGTCAAGTGGAGGAGAGGCAATATATCAATGCTAATTGCTGAGTTTCTCCAGGAAGTAAAATATGTAATAATTATTTGAGATATCTTCAAAAATCCATGTTTAATCACTGAAACCTGTAATTATGTTATCTAATACGACAAAGGGATGTTGCAGATGTGATTAGGTAGATTGAGGTAATTATTGTGGATTATCTGGGTGGCTCTAATATAATCACAACATGTCCTATTAGAGAGACATGAAGGGAGTGAGAGTAGTGACAACAAAAGCAAGAGATTGACTCAGGGTTTTCCTCAACCTCCTCAGCCTAATCTGGGAATATAGATTGGATTATCAAAAAAAAATGTGAAGAAATCTCATGTTTATTGAGAAATCCTAGTGATATATTTGCAGGAAACTATAAAGGTCTGGGGGAATGGGGGAATGTTATGCCAGAAGAAGCACTGCCAGATTGGACTAAGAGGGAAAGGCAGAGAGAGAGGGTGGGGGGAGAGAGAGAGAGAGAAACTTCTAAGCCATCAGATCTCATAAGAATTCACTGTTACAAGAACAGCAAGGAAGAAAACCTACCTCCATGATCCAATCACCTCCTAACAGGTCCCACCCTCAAAGGTGGCGATTACAATTTGAGATGAGATTTGGATGGGGACATGAGCCAAACCATATCATTTCACTCCTGACGCCTCCAAAACCTCATATCCTTTTCACATTTCAAAATCAATCACGCCTTTCAAACAGTCGCTCCGATCTTAACTCATTCCAGCATTAACTCAAAAGTCCAAGTCCAAAGTCTCATCTGAGACAAGGGAAGTCCCTTCCACTTATGAGCCTGTAAAATTAAAAACAAGTTAGTTATTTACAAGACACAATGGAGGTACAGACAGTGGGTAAATGTTGCCATTGCAAAAGGGAGAAATTGACCAAAACAAAGGGGCAACAGGCCCCATGCAAGTCAGAAACCCAGCAGGGCAGATCTTAAAACTTAAGGCTCCAAAATAATCTCCTTTGATTCCATGTCTCACATCCAGGGCATGCTGACGCAATAGGTGGGCTCCCAAGCTATTGGGCAGCTCTGCTGCTGCAACTCTGCAGGGTATAGCCCCTGAAACTTCTTTCACAGGCTGCTGTTGAATGCCTGGAGCTTTCCCAAGCACACAGTGCAAGCTGTCAATGGATCTACCATTCTGCGGTCTGGACGATGATGGCCCTCTTCTCATAGCTCTACTAGGCAGTGACCCGGTGGGGACTCAGTATGGGGGCTCCAATCCCACATTTCCCTCCTGCACTGCCCTAGCAGAGGTTCTCCATGAGGGCACTGCTACTGCAGCAGACTTCTCCCTGAGCATACAGTTGTTTCCATACCTCCTCTGATATGTAGACACAGGTTTCCAAACCTCAGTTTTTGCCATCTATGCATCCACATGCCCAATACCACATGGAAATTTCCAAGGCTTGGGGTTTTCACCCTCTGAAGCCACAGCCTGTGTTGTACCTTGTCCTATTTTAGCCTCGAGTAGAGCTGGAGCACTGGGGACACAGGGCTCTATATCCCAAAGTTTCACAGAGCAGTGAGGGCCCTGATCCCAGTCCA
Source organism: Homo sapiens (assembly GCF_000001405.40). Classification (NCBI taxonomy): domain Eukaryota; kingdom Metazoa; phylum Chordata; class Mammalia; order Primates; family Hominidae; genus Homo; species Homo sapiens. The sequence continues at coordinate 39,255,549 of NC_000011.10, forward strand.
CAAAACCATTTTTCCCTCTTAGGCCTCTGGGCTTGTGATGGGAGGGGCTTCCATTAAGATTGCTGAAATGCCCTGGAGACATTTTCCCAATGCCTTGGCTAATAATAACAGGTTCCTCATTACTTTGTGCATATTTATGCAGCTAGCTTCAATTTCTTCCCAGGAAATGGGTTTTTATTTTCTATCACATAGTCAGGCTTTGAATTTTCCAAACTTTAATGTTCCGCTTCCCTTTTAAACATAATTTCCAATTTCAGACCATATCTTTGTGAACACATATGACTGTATGCATTCAGAAACAGCCAGGTCACATCTTGAATGCTTTGCTGCTTAGAAATGTATGCTGCCAGATACCCTAAATTATCTCTCTCAAGTTCAGAGTTTCACAGATCTCTAGGGCAGGAGCTAAATGCCATCAGTCTCTTTGCTGAAGCATGGCAACCATGGCCTTTGCTCCAGTTCCCAATATGTTCCTCTCTCCATCTGAGACCACCTCAGCCTGGACTTCATTATCCATATCACTGTCAACATTTTGGTCAAAACCATTCGACAAGTCTCTAGGAAGTTTCAAACTTTCCCAAATCTTCCTGTCTTTTTCTGAACCCTGAAAACTGCTCCAACCACTCTGCTATAAAGAACTACATGAGACTAAGTAATTTATTAAGAAAAGATATTTAATTGACTTACAGTTCAGTTAAACCTGGAGGACAGCAGACCTCTTCTCACAGACCACTAGGCAGTGCCCCAGTAGGGACTCTGTGTGGCAACTCCTACCCTACATTTCCCTGCTGTACTACCCTCGAAGAGGTACTGCATAAGAGCCCCGCCCATGCAGCAAACTTATGCCTGGATACCCAGGCATTTCAATACATCCTCTCAAATCTAGGCAGAGGTTCCCAAACTTCAGTTCTTGACTTCTGTGCACTCACAGGCTCAACACCACATGAAAGCTGTCAAGGTTGGGGACTTGTACCCTCATAAGGCATGGGACAAGCTTGGCCCTTTTTAGCAATGATGGGAGTGGCTAGAACACAGGGCACTAACTTCCTAGGCTGCATACAGTACAGGGACCCTGGGCCCAACCCATGAAACCACTTTTTCCTCCTAGGCCTTCAGGCCTATGATGGGAAGGACTGCTGTGAAGACCTCTGACATGCCCTGGAGATATTCTCCCCATTGTCTTGGAGATTAACATTCAGCTCCTCATTACTTATGCAAATTTCTGCAGCTGGCTTGAATTTCTCCTCAGAAAATGGGATTTCTTTTTCTATCACAATTGTCAGGCTGCAAATTTTCCTATTTTCCTAACTTTTATGCTTTGCTTCCTTTATAAAACTGAATGCCTTTAACAGCACCCAGGTCACTTCTCATATGCTTTGCTGCTTATAAATTTCTTCCACCAGTTGACCTTAATCATTTCTCTCAAGTTCGAAATTCCACAAATCTCTAGGACAGGGGTAAAATGCTGCCAGTCTTAGGCTAGAACATAAGAGGAGTCACCCTTGCTCCAGTTCCCATCCCACCTCTTGCATCAGTATGACCTGGATATGAGTCACGGAGTCAAAGGAGATCATTTTGGAGCTTTAAGATTTGACTGCCCAGGGCCAGGCGTGGTGGTTCATGCCTGTAATCCCAGCACTTTGGGAGGCCAAGGCGGGTGGATCACGAGGTCAGGAGATTGAGACCATCCTGGCTAACGTGGTGAAACCCTGTCTCTACTAAAAATACAAAAAAATTAGCCATGCGTGGTGGTGGGCACCTGTAGTCCCAACTACTCAGGAGGCTGAGGCAGAAGAATGGTGTGAACCCAGGAGGAGGAGCTTGCAGTGAGCCGAGATTGAGCCACTGCGCTCTGGGCTGGGCAACAGAGCGAGACTTTGTCTCAAAAAAAAAAAAAAAAAAAAAAGATTTGACTGCCCAACTGGATTTTTAGACTTGCATGGGGCCTGTAGCCCTTTGTTTTGGCCAATTTCTTCCATTTGGAATGGCTGTATTTACCCAATGCCAGTACCCCCATTGTATCTAGGAAGTAACTAACTTGTTTTTGATTTTACAGGCTCATAGGTGGAAGAGACTTGCCTTGTCTTGGAGTAGACTTTGGACTGTGGAGTTTTGAGTTAATGCTGAAAAGAGTTAAAACTTTGGGGGAAAGGCATGATTGGTTTTGAGATGTGAGGACATGAGATTTGAGAGTGGCCAGGGGCAGAATGATATGGTTTGGCTGTGTCTCCACCAAAATCTCATCTTGAATTCCCATGTATTGTGGGAGGGACCCAGTGGGAGGTAATTGAATCATGGGGGCAGGTCTTTCCTATGCTGTTCTCAGGATAGCGAATAAGTCTCACAAGATCTGATGGTTTTAAAATGGGGAGTTTCCCTGCACAAGCTCTTCTGTATTCTGCCACCATGTGAGATATGCCTTTCACCTTCTGCTGTGATTGTGAGGCCTCACCTGCCTCACAGTCATGTGGAACTGTAAGTCCATTTAACCTCATTCTTTTGTAAATTGCCAGTCTCAGTTGTGTCTTTATCAGCAGCGTGAAAATGGACTGATACACATGCTTTGTGCTTAAAAATTACTAAAATTCTACTTTAGCTCAAAGAAAGAGGGCAAAAAGGGTGTAGCAGGAAATGAAGTCTGAGAATTAAAAGGCTGAGGCAGATCCTGAAGAACTTTTGGGGTCATTTACATGGATATTGGCTTTTAATCTGCACAACTTAAAAAATATTAGACATTTTTGAGCAGGAATAACACAGTGAGACTTCCATTTAAAAACACAACTTTCAACTGCTATGTTGAAAAAAGACTGTAGAAGAGAATGAAAAGATCATGGAAACCAAGCCAAAAAATATTGCTGAAATTTAAGTGAAAGAGGGTGACTTGGGCTAGTGTGATAATGGTGGAGTTGGTAAGAACTAGCCAAATTTTTTGTATTTTTAAATAAGATTTTTTTTATGAGCATGATGTGGAGTAAGAGACAAAGAGAGGAATCAAGAATAATCACAACATCTTTGGTCTCAGCCAAATAATTGATCTGATATTTACTGAGTTTAGAATGAGTACATAAGATGCAGATTTAAAGAGAAAAATCAGAATTTCATTTCCAAACCTTTTACTTTTCTAGATAGATATCTAAGTGTGGATATCAAATATGTAGTTGTAGACTAGAATTTAGCAATGTGATCTAGGCTGAAAACAACTTTTAATCCTTAAAACAGCATTTTCCAAAGTGTATTCCGTAAGTGTCTATTTCTGCAGCAGGTTAATAAGTACTAAACACACAGCTTATTTAATCAATATGTTTTAGAAATGTTGAATTACTATAAACAGGTTTCCTTACTTTAGTACTGCTCAGAATCATTAATATAATAATATAATTTTGATATCTAATGATGATAACATAGTATATAGAGTTTTCCAAACGGTTCTATCTAAAATATATCTTTTCTAGGAAAATTTGGGATAATTGTTTCAAAGAAGCATTTTGTGTAAAACAATGACAACCACCCTTGGCCTTATTTAACAAATGAAACAATTAAGTTTTAAAAAACTTGAATAGTTATTCAAGGTTATATAGCTGGCCTTCAAACCCATGTTGATCTTTCTTACTGTTTAATTGAACTCATGAAAAAGAAAAGGGTGGCAATATACTCAAGTGTGATTTCATTCCACATACAAGTAAGCAGAGTAAACCAGACAAAATTTCCCAGGACTTGGTAAAAGAGCCCTAACGGAGAAAATAAAAGTGCAGGGGCTTAGTAGATGCAAGACAAAGTGTCCTGTTCGATTCTATTTAGTTCTGACTGGAATTATTTTAATTAATAATGGCTGTATAATCCAGAGGCTTGTAGAGAGCTTGGAATATATTTTTGCACCAGTATGGATTTTTTTTCTAGCATTTATAGACTGTATGGGTTATTGAAAGCTTTTCCTAATTCAAGGTACTCTGTATATCTTTAAACACAATATTTCTGAGATGTGTGTCAACAAGGTGACTTTCCTCCAGTTAGACAGGAATCAGAGGGGTGGAGGAATGGTGGATAGTGTTAAACACAAAAAGGAATAAAATATTGGGAGACCGAGGCAGGCAGATCACCTGAGGTCGGGAGGTCGAGACCAGCCTGACCAAAATGGAGAAACCCCATCTCTACTAAAAACACAAAATTAGCCAAGTGTGGTGGTGCATACCTGTAGTCTCAGCTACTCGGGCGGCTGAGACAGGAGAATCACTTGAATCCGAGGGGCAGAGGTTGCAGTGAACCGAGATTGCACCATTGCACTCTGGCCTGGGTGACAAAGTAAAACAGTCTCAAAAAAAAAAAAAAAAGAGGAATAAAGTAGTCAATCAATACAAAGCTAATGTGAGGAAATTACTATTCTTTTTAACAATTTTGAAATGTTTAAAATTAGTATCACCTCAAGTTTTGGTCAAATTAATATATCTGACCTGTTACCCCATAGAATTATAAGGTGGTAGACATCATGGTGGGCTGAAAATTGAACGCCCAGTGACTTTAGCTTTTGCTAACAACCAATTCTTTAGATTTTAATATTGAATTCTGAACTTCAGAATATTTGCTGGTAATGTACTGAGTGATTAAGGATTATAAAATTTGCTATTAATAAGCTAATACTTTTCACATTATTATCATGTCCTGATGGCTTTAATTCCATGTTCTACAAAGAAGATTGCCTGCCATGCAATATTTGGCAACGTTACAAATTTTTTTTTTTTTTTTTTTTTTTTTTTTTTTTGAGGCAGAGTCGCGCTCTGTCGCCCAGGCTGGAGTGCGGTGGTGCAATCTTGGCTCACTGCCGCTCTGCCTCCCAGGTTCACGCCATTCTCCTGCCTCAGCCTCCCGAGTAGCTGGAACTATAGGCGCCTGCCACCAAGCCTGGCTAATTTTTTGTATTTTTAGTAGAGGCGGGGTTTCACCACGTTAGTCAGGATGGTCTCGATCTCCTGACCTTGTGATTTGCCCACCTTGGCCTCCCAAAGTGCTAGGATTACAGGTGTGAAACACCGCGCCTGGCCAACGTTACAAATCTATGTCTGTACATGTGCCAATACAAGTAACAGAAACACTAGAAATTTCAGTTTGTTGTTTGAGTTATAGAAAGTAATATCTTCAAAAATTATACAGTACTGTACTGATACCTCAGCCTGTGAAGACTCTTCAGGATATTCAGGGTAAATTTTACATTCTCCAGTTATCTATTTCCTAATGCTGTAAATTCATATTGTCACTACTACCATAGTGACAAAGCATGTGTAAGGAATCCACCCTAAAAATATACATATAAAACAAACTTAACAACGAGTACACTTATATGAGGTAATGGATATTGACTCATGAAGGGAAAGAGTTCTTTAATAGGCAGTCTAGTAATACAAGTAAGAGTATAAGTTTTGATATCAGGAAAGCATGAGTCAAAATTCTGGCTTTATAATTTATTATCTGAGTGTTCTAGGGTCAGTTATCATAACACTGTAAGCATTAAATCTCTGATATGTAAATCCAGATACAAATCACTGCTTTATGGAGTGTTAGAGTTATTGCTTACTTTAGTAGCACATATACTAAAATTGTGATAATACAGAGAAGATTTGCATGGCCCCTGTGCAACAACAACACACAGATTTGTGAAGCATTCTATGTTTTACAAATTGAAAAAAAAGGCACAGACAAAGAGAGAATTCTAAAAAGAGCAAGATAAAAGCTTCAAGTCACCTGTGAGGGAATCTCTATTAGACTATGGGAGGATTTTGCAGAAAAAAAAAATCACAGACCAGGGGGAATGGGTTGCCTTATATTCAAAGGGTTGCGAAAAATAAATACATAAAACCCTTATCAATCCTGAATACTATACCCAGCAATGCATTCAGAAATAAAAGAGAAATAAACCCTGTCCCAGAGAAACAAAAGCTGACATAATTTATCATCACTAGACTGGACTTAAAACAAATGCTTAAGGGAGAAGTTCAACTGAAAAAAAGGGATAATTACTATCATGAAAACATAAAAATGTATAAACCCAATTGGTAGAGGAAAATTCATAATCAAACCCAAAGTACTCTATTACTGTAATGGTGATGTGTTAATTTTTCAAATCTCCAGTACAAAGGTTAAAAGTCAAAATAATATAACTGTAGCTACAGTTATAGTAAAAAATAACTATAGCTACAATAAGCTTTAAAATACAAAATATAAAAAGATGTAAAATATTCTCAACATAAGCAATCACCAGGGAAATGCAAATTAAACCATTATGAGATATCATCTCATACCCATAAGGATGACTATTAATTAAAAAGAAAAAGATAAATGTTGGCAAGGGTTTGGAGATAAGGGAACCCTGGTATACTGTTGATGGGAATGTAGTTTGCTATAGCCATGATGGAAAGCAGTATGAAGGTTCCTAAAGAAGTTAAAAATAAAACTACTATGTGACCTGGCAATCCATTTTCTGAATACATACACATAAGAGATAAAATAGACACTTGCAAATATATCTGTACTCTCAAGTTGATTGCAGTATTATTTACAATAGCAACACATGTAAACAATATAAATACACATAGACAGACAAATGGGTAAAGACAATGTCACGAACACACACATAAACACACACACACACATTTCTGTGATTATTTCTAATCACCCCTAAAAAGAAGGAGGTCTACAACATGAATGGAACTACTATAGACGACATTATACTAGGTGAAATAAGCCAGACAGAGAAAGAAAATTATTGCATAATCTTACTTATATGAGGCATTTTTTTTAAATAAAAAGAGCTCAAATATGCAAGGATGATAAAGCAGTGGTTACCAGAAGTGAAGGGGATAGGAAGGAAATAGGGAGATATATGTCAAAGAATACAGAATAACAGATGTATAGGAAATGTAGAGTGTTAGCCTGTTTTCACGCTGTTGATAAAGACATACTGGAGACTGGGCTATTTACAAAAGAAAAAGATTTCATTGGACTTACAGTTCCATGTGGATGGGGAGGCCTCACAATCATGGCAGAAGGCAAGGAGGAGCAAGTCATATCCTACGTGGATGGTGGCAGGCAAAAAGAGAGCTTGTGCAGAGAAACTCCCATTTTTTCACACCATCAGATCTCGTGAGACCCATTCACTATCACGAGAACAGCATGGGAAAGACCCACCCCCATAATTCAGTAATTCTCCACCAAATCCCTCCCACAACACTTGGAAATTATAGGAGCTACAAGATGAGATTTGGGTGGGACACAGAGCCAAACTATATCATTCCACCCCAGTCCCTCCGAAATCTCATATCTTCATGTTTCAAAACAAATCATGCCTTCCCAGTGGTCCCCCAAAGTCTCAACTCATTTCAGCATTAACTCAAAAGTCTACAGTTTAAAGTCTCATCTGGGAAAAGACAAGTCCCTCCCACCTATGAGCCTGTAAAATCAAAAACAAGTTAGTTACTTCCTAGATACAATGAGGGTGCAAGAATTGGGTAAATACAGCCATTCCAAATGGAAGAAATTGGCCAGAACAAAGGGGCTACAGGCCCCATGCAAGTCCAAAATACAGAAGGGTAGTACAGTCTTAAAGCTCCAAAGTGATCTTCTTTGACTCCATGTCTCACATCTGGGTCACACTGGAGCAAGAGGTGGGTTCCCATGGTTTTGGACAGCTCCATCTCTGTGGCTTTGCAGGGTACAGCATCCTTCCCAGCATATTGTTTCTTTATGACAGACGTGTTATGAACAGCATGGGATTGGGATTGCTATCATCTATCCTTAAACTGGGTGAGATGTTCCCAGAAAGAGAGACGACATCATTGTAAGACAAACCACCTATCTTAAAATGCTGAGAAATATCAGTGAATTGGATACATGCTGATGGCCAATATTTGGTGGAGGAAGGAAAAAAAGAGAAACAAACAGGGATGAAAAATAAAATAGGGAGAACACAATTTAGAATATAGTAAAAAGAAAGAGGAGAAATAAAGGAACAAAGAGAAGAAGATTAAGAAAAGACAGAGAAATATAAATATAAAGGAAGAAAAAGAGGCAGAGAACAGAGGGAAAAAGGAATCAGAAAAGAAGAGAGAAATTTAAATTTAAAGAGAGTGAAATATGAAATAGAGCTGAAAGCAGAAATAGAGTTTGAAGAATATTATACGGAACTCAGATTTGTTTTAAAAAGAAATGGGACACTGTGTCCTCTAAGCTTGAAGACCATGAAGGACAATGTAAAGAAGCTTAAGGTACAGATTTTCAATTCATGGTTTCAATTAAAAATAATAAGTTATAGTAAAAAAGCCCCAACTATTCATGATATTCCTTGGCTAAATCTGATATTAAGATTGAATTAGGTAACCCCAAAGCAAACTGCTCAGAAGAGTGCCTGACATCTAGTAAGTACTCAATAATTGTTGGATATTATTATTTTTTATGATATAGTTTAGAGGTTTTTCAGACTGTGACCAACCAAGGCAGAATATAATTCAGCCTAAATAAATTCCAGGCAATAATCTGCAAGTGAAACAATACTCTAAATACTCTTATAACCTGAAATGTACATTTTAACGCTCTACATTTTTCTCAAAAATTTTAGAGTTATAAGCATAAAGCAAGATTCTTCAATTATATTAATTTGTAATAGAAATTATGTGATTTTATTTCAAAATTACATAATATAGGGAAGGAAATTGCTATTCTTAAATAAACATAAACTTCTAGGGTAATTTTAGTGGTAATTTTGAAGAAGAAATTACTAAAGCATGTGAGCAAGACTAAGTGGCTTCCTACATACCTCTAATAGAAATTCCTCCTTGAATTTTACAGACTTCTTTAAGGAAATAAAATAATTTTTATTCTAAAAGAGTGTTTCTTGATAGGACTAGGGTTTATTTTTCTCATGCAGTTAAAGGAATATCTTTAGAGATAAAAATTTGCAGGTATTCTAATGACTGTTATTTTCAGCAGCATCATTCACATTTTGTATGTATCAATTCAAAGAAACAGTTGCAAACATTTACTTGTCAATTATCAACAATCGGTGAGAGGGTTCTTCAAGCCTCATTTTCTTAAAGAATTTGAAAAATGGAAAAGGAAAAAAGAAACCAAAGTGAAATTATTTGTCTTGTAATTACAGGAGAGTGAAATTCATAAGAGAATACAATTTTTTATTTTTAAATTTTATTTTTAATTGCCATGTAATAATTATATATATTTATGGGGTACAGTGTGATGTTTCAATACATGTTTACATTGTATAATGATCAAATCAGGTTATTTAGCATATTTATCACCTGATACAGTTATTATTTCTTTGTGGTAAGTACATTCAAAATGCACTCTTCTACCTATTTTGAAATATACAATAAAATACTATTAACCATGGTCACCACAGTGTGTACTAGAACACCAGATCTTATTCCTCCCATCTGGCTGCAACATTGTATACACTGACCAATCTCTCCCCATTGCCAGTTCCCCCACTACCTTTTCCAGTCTCCAATAACCACTATTCTACTACGTCTATGAAATTATTATTTTTTAGATTCCATATGTAAGTGAGATCATGTGGCATTTGTATTTATGCACCTGGCTTATTTTAGTAAACATAATGCCCTCCAGGTTCACCATGTTGCCAGAAATGACAAGATTTCATTCATTTTTTATGGATGAATAATATTCCTTTGTGTATGTATACCACATTGTCTTTATCTGTTTAACCATTGATGAAAATATGTTGATTCCATATCTTGGCTATTGTGAATAGTGATGGAAGAAAACAGGGGAAACACTTTATGACATTGGTCTGGGCAAGGATTTTTTGGATAAGGCCTCCACCAGAAAGGCAACAAAAGCAAAAACAGACAAATGGGATCACATCAAACTACAAAGCTTCTGCAAAGCAAAAAAAAAACAAACAAAAAAACAAACAACAACAACAACAACAAAATATATGGAGTAAGGAGAAAACCTACAGAATGGGAGGAAATATTTGCCAACTATCCATCTGACAAGGAGTTAATATTCAGAATATAATGAACTCAATAGCAGAAAAACAAATAATCTGATTTAAAAATAGGCAAAAGACCTGAATAGACATTTTTTCAAAGGAAAACAAACAAATGACCAATAGGGATGTGAGAACATTCTCAGCAGTAATCATCAGGAAAACACAAATCAAAACCACAATGAGATATCATCTCACTTAGAATGGTCATGAATAAAAAGAAAAAATAACAAATGCTGGCATAGATGTGGACAAAGTGGAACTCTTATACATTGTTGGTGGGAATGTTCATTAGTAAGGCCATTATAGAAAAAAATATAGAAGTACTTCAAATAATTAAAAATAGAGTTGTTTTATGATCCAACAATCACATTTCCTAGTATATATCAAAAGGAAATTAAATTAGTATGTCAGAGATACCTGTACTCTCATGTTTAAAACAGATTTATTAATAATAAAATTGTCAGCAAGCAAAATTTAAGCCATTTTCAATGGAGAGCCACATTGATTCATTGTGGTTCAAAGTCCTTCAGAATTAAATGCATTACCTCTCCCATTAGAGTTCACTGAAACACGCAGCTCTCATGTCTATGTTGCTCTAATTCTTGTGATAACCTAAAATTGAAAAGGTTATGATTTTTATCCAACTCAATACAATTTCTAAGTTAGTGTTTTCTTATGTTCACCTATCAAGTTTCTCGGAACCACTTCTTATTCTGTTGGTACTTAGCAATAATTTTTATGCATTCTGAATTATCAGGTGTGATATCAGTTTTGCTACTCCAAAGGAAGGGAGATATGTCTATAGAGCCTGTGGGACGAATTGCTGTCTTAAAGGTCATTCTGTTGATATCTAATTCTCACAGCAGTCTTGAAAGGTGAGAATTTCAACCCATTTCACAAGTGAGGAAACTGAGTTTGGGGTAGTGAGTTGCTAAAGTTCATTTAGCTAGTGCTAAAGTTCATTTAGCTAGTGCTAAAATTGGAATCCATTCTATTATCTATCATAAGATTTTTTTTTTTTTTTTTGAGACGGAGTTTTGCTTTTGTTGCTCAGGCTGGAGTGCAATGGTGCCGTCTCAGCCAGCCACAACCTCCGCCTCCCGGCTTCAAGCAATTCTCCTGCCTCAGCCTCCTGAGTCGCTGGGATTAGAGGCATGCACCACCACACCCAGCTAATTTTGTATTTTTAGTAGAGACGGGGTTTCTCCATGTTGGTCAGACTGGTCTCGAACTCCCGACCCCAGGTGATCTGCCCGCCTCAGCCTCCCAAAGTGCTGGGATTACAGGCGTGAGCCACCGAGCCTGGCCAATTTCCTAGTTCTTATGCTTTTAACAATACTACATTATTTTTTTAATCAGCAGAAGAGATCATGAATTAGCTTAGAGTTTTATTATTTAGGATTCGAGCTTCTTAGTCTTTCATATGTTTCAACTAATTATTACCCCTTTTTCTTGGACGTGTCACCATAATCACATTTCTCAGTTTAAAATTGGGGAAGCTTTTTGTAGTGTCTACAATTTATTTTGAAATATATGACTTACTACTTATTCAAGTTTTGTGTGGGCAATTTAGGTTAAGCGATAATCCAGAGCAGCTAATATGCTATAAAGAAAGCAGTATCCACAAGCAATCTGTCATCCATTTATCAATGAAAATCCAATGTTTTGCTAATTACTATAATGAATGCTCAAAAATGGATTTTAAACAGTAAAAATAATAGTTTTTTGTTATGATGAGAGTATTAGAAATGGAATACCTCTGGCAAAATTAAAGGTATGCAGGTTATTGTAGATTAGCTGAAAATAATTTGATAGTGTTTATTAGTTGTGTCTATTTATCTATTATTGTAGATTGGCTGAAAATATTTTGAAGGTGTCTCCTAGTTTGTGTCTCCTAACACAGGATAAGAATTCAGTAAACCTCTGCCGGGCGTGGTGGCTGAGGCCTGTAATCCCAGCACTTTGGGAGGCCGAGGCGGGTTAATAACGAGATCAGGAGATTGAGACCATCCTGGCTAACATAGTGAAACCCCGACTCGATTAAAAGTACGAAAAATTAGCCGGGCGTGGTGGTGGGCGCCTGTAGTCCCAGCTACTCGGGAGGCAGAGGCAGGAGAATGGCGTGAACCCAGAGGCGGAGCTTGCAGTGAGCTGAGGTTGCGCCACTGCACTCTAGCCTGGGCAACAGAGCGAGACTCCGTCCAAAAAAAAGAAAAAAAAAAAAAAAAAAAAGAAATCAGTAAACCTCCATTCTTTTACTCTCAAGGATGTATCACAACGTGTGATTCCTAACTAAACGTATTGTTCACATGTGGAAGAGTCCTGTTTGCTAGATGCTAACTATACATCACAGAACATCGTCTATGGAGATTTGTTCCGTCTGCCACAGGAATAGAGCACCCGAAAGGACAAAATGAAGAGACTTCACCCAGCAGTTGGGTTAATATTTATTTTGTAAATGTTTGCTTTAATCAGACAATTTATTCTTTAGGCTTACACTTTTAACCTGGAGGTGTGGGGAGCATGGGTACACTTCATTCACCTAAAATATTGTTGGTGCTTACTAATTATCTCTTGAAAATAACTTCATAGAAGTACAGACTCCAGTTGCCTTAAGGCAGTTTGCAACAGTTTGTGCAGTGACCCATACGATACTTTCAATATATTTAGAAGCAGGAAGCAAACGCTAAAAAGTCTTTTGGTTTTAGAGAGAAATTCATTTTTTTCTCGTGTTAAGCACCACAAAGTTTACTATTTAACTGTCAATTTTGTGTTTTCTTTTTCTTTTTTTCAAACCTTTTGTTTTTAATGGCACTCTCATTGGCATAATTCCCTATTATACAGACACACTTATACCTCATAAAGCAATTTACTGACTGAAGGATTCCTTATCACTTCTGCTTCCTTACAGCAGGGCTGAAGTTTTCTAATTATGACAACATGGAGAGGAAAAACATCTGTGCAGCCAATGTTGCACAGCAGCCTCTAGTAAGTGAAGAAAAGAGCCTTCAGATACTTTAAATATTTGAGGGATTTAATGAAAGTTTGCTACTGATGTCTCCTTGAACAGTTTTTGGGAAGCCTGTGTGCATAACAAAATTAGTAGGAAATTAAGAAAAAGAAAAAAAGGAGCATTTATTGCACAATGATTTTTAATAGCCATTTACAGCCCCATGAATAAGGTTTAATAGATGTCGTCAGAGATACCAGGAAATCCTTCCACTAAATTCTATAGGCTCAGCTTTTGATTCATAAAGACATTGCAAAATGTATTAGAATTAAGTCAGATTAGTGGACCAATATGCCTTAACTGACATCCTCAATGCATACATACGTCCATTGTTCCCTATATTACTTCAGAAAAGTCCTAAAATCATTATTATGAAATGCATCACCCTTAATGATGAAAGGTGAAAATTTGAACCAGCACCTTACTGGTTTCAAACTAAATTTATTCACTAACCCAGAACTGTAAATTGTCCCCTTTCTAGTTGGAGTCCTATCTCCCTAGCAATTCACTGTATTGATTTCTTAGTCACAAAATCTGGTTGCATGAAACTGTGTGCACAGTGGCAACTGGCAGAGACACTACCACTGGCTATATTGTAATGAATACATCCTAAGCGACTATATTTTCTATGATACTAATAAGTGAGTTGCATAAATCAGCAAACGAGCAGGTGAATAATAATACCATCAACATTCTCTTTGATTAGTCTTGTGAGAGATAAAAAGCTTATCATTGTGGTAGAGCTTGGATTACCTTTCCAAATATTTTACCTTAAACTGTACTTGTACTCACTAAAACATACCCATTCCTACACATCAAATCCAGACAGCCCCAAAATACATCTCTACAGTGTATTATTAGCTACTTGACATTTCCTTACACCAAAATACAGTCTGCTGCAAGTCTGGAAATTTCTCAGTAAAACACAAATTATTTATAAGAAATGTTAAATAAAACTGTTCATATTGCTTAATCTAAAAATGACAATTTCTACATTTGTAGAACATACTGTAGAGCAAATCTACAAATTAAAAATATGAGAGAAAACATATAAAATAGTCATAAAAGGCCAAATGTGGTGCCTCATGCCTTTGAGAGGACAAGGTGGGCAGATTGCTTGAACCCAGGAGTTCCAGACCAGCCTGGACAACATGGTGAAACCCTGTCTCTACAATAAATATAACAACAACAACAAATATCAGCTTGGTGTGGTGGTGTACCCCCGCGACCCCAGCTACTTGGGAAGCTGAGCTGGGAGGACCACTTAAGGCCAGGAAGTTGAGGCTGCAGTGAGCTGTAATTGTGCCACTGCACTCCAGCCTGGACAAAAGAGTGAGACCCTACCTCAAAAAAAAAGGGCCATCAATATGTAAAGCCTTATTCTAATGTAAAATATGATAATTATAATTTGATTATACCTAACCCTCATATATTCTTTAAACAAGTCCCATGCAAGGGAAAACTGCCCAATAATTAAAGGCACCATATTTTTAAGATTGTTTTAAAAAGAATATGTACATTAAATTCATTGGATCCCGCTTGTAGTCATTCATATTTATTCTTGATTATTTATCAGGCATGAGTTTCCTACCAACTTCCAAGATGGTTCAATATTCCTTTTCTTTATCAGTATGCATGTGACATGATGGTACAGATATATTCTGAGCTTTTTCAGGTAAAAGAGTTATGATGACCAAATATAATAAAGTTTTAGCAGAAAGAATAATGTGCTCAGTGTCAGAAGGCCTAGATTCAGGTCCTGAACTTTTCATTTTCTGTGTGTGTGAATGAATGGTGATGAGGGTGATCACTTTACTTATCTGAGCCTCAATTTTCTTGTTTGTTAGTTGTAAATGATGATGCTAAACTCATTTTTATGCAGAAAAAAATTATGTATGTCAAAATGCTTTGGAATTTGTAATATATAAATATTATATATTACTATTGATTGTATTCTCCAGTCTCAGCATATATTGGAAAAGTTTAGAATAAATCAATGTCATTTAAGTCATATGTTGCATCAGATTTATTTCAGGCCAATAGAAGTAATCACTGAGTGCTCCATATGTGCCACACACCAAGCTAAATAGTTTACATGGATGATCTTAGTCAAAACTCATTAAAAACCTTTAAGAAAAATATTATCATAATTCCATTTATATTAAGTCATAGCAAGCTTAATTAATTAACCCAAATGTTGAACTAACATATTAAAATAAATTGAACCTTTTATTTATTTATTTATTTTGAGACGGAGTCTCAGGCTGAAGTGCAGTGGCATGATCTTGGCTCACTGCAAGCTCCACCTCCTGGTGAGAGGTGAAGCCAGCTGGACTTGCTGGGTGGAGTGGGGACTTGGAGAACTTTTCTGCCTAGCTAGAGGATTATAAACGCACCAATCAGCACTCTGTGTCTAGCTAAAGGATTGTAAATGCACCAATCAGCACTCTGTAAAAACACACCAATCAGCACTCTGTGTCTAGCTAAAGGATTGTAAATGCACCAATCAGCACTCTGTAAAAACACACCAATTAGCACTCTGTGTCTAGCTAAAGGATTGTAAATGCACCAATCAGCACTCTGTAAAAACACACCAATCAGCACTCTGTGTCTAGCTAAAGGATTGTAAACACACCAATTAACACTCTGTAAAAATGTACCAGTCAGCACTTTGTGTCTAGCTAAAGGACTGTAAACACACCAGTCAGCGCTCTGTAAAATGGACCAATCAGCAGGATGTGGGCGGGGCCAAATAAGGGAATAAAAGCTGGCCACCCAAGCTAGCAGTGCAACCCCACCGGTCCCCCTCCACACTGTGGAGGCTTTGTTCTTTTACTCTTCACAATAAATCTTGCTGCTGCTCACTCTTTGGGTCTGCACTACCTTTATGAGCTGTAACACTCACCAGGAGGGTCTGTGGCTTCATTCCTGAAGTCAGCAAGACCAGGAACCCACCAGGAGGAACAAACAATATGGACATGCCACCTTTAAGAGCTGTAACACTCACCAAGGGGGTCTGCAGCTTCATTCCTGAAGTCAGCAAGACCACGAACCCACCAGGAGGAATCAACAATATGGACGTGCCACCTTTAAGAGCTGTAACACTCACTGTGAAGATCTGCAGCTTCACTCCTGAAGTCAGCGAGACCACGAACCCACTGAAAGGAAGAAACTCCAGACACATCTGAACATCTGAAGGAACAAACTTGGGACACACCATCTTTAAGAGCTGTAACACTCACCGCGAAAGTCTGCGGCTTCATTCTTGAAGTCAGCGAGACCAAGAACCCACCGGAAGGAATAAAGTCCAGACACACTGGGTTCACGCCCTTCTCCTGCATCAGCCTCCCGAGTAGCTGGGACTGCAGGTGCCTGCCACTACGCCAGGCTGGTTTTGTTTTTGTATTTTTAGTAGAGACGGGGTTGCACCATGTTAGCCAGCATGGTCTTAATCTCCTTACCACGTGATCTGCCCACCTTGGCCTCCCAAAGTGCTGGGATTATAAGTATGAGCCACCCTGCCCAGCCCTTATTTTTTTTATTTTTTATTTTTTAAAAAATATATATAGGCTAAGATGTTGACGTACTTTCACAGCCAGGTAAAAGGAAGTTAAATCTTTTATGTGTGGTAATGACTATCTTCAGAAATGAGACACTTTAGAAACACAAAATAAAAATAAAAATGATTTATTTAATGCAAAACATGCAAACAAATAAAAAGAGAATTCCAGTTTCTGATATTTAATTAGAAATGCAGTTATTGTAAAATCACGTCTCAGGGGTTGTATGGCCTTTAGAGGTTACTTGTCCAGTGCCTTCTGTTTTCAGCTCATAGCTCCATCACCTTTGAAACATTCTCCAGAAACAGGCTTCTAGATCACTCATTTTCAGCTGCTATGTTTCTCTCCACCATACGTGATAAGATATTCACAGGCATAATAAACACACATAGACTCAAGAGCTGAGGCAATGAAAAGAAAAAGTTATGAGTTATATGCAATTCTTGCCAAGATTATTAAAATACTCCTTTCACATCTAAATGATAGCTATATCTTTATATAAAAACACTATATTTCATTTATTTTAAAAAGAAAGGCTTCTGAATTTTAGTGATTCAAACTATAATTGTAGCAATTTCCCTCCAACACAGCAGTCTGTTATGATGCTAATTTTAAGAATCTCTGTCCCAGCCTACATGTCTGCAAGTCAAGTGTCAGGTTATGTTAGTTTGCTTTTGGTTCCAAGTGACACAGAGCTTCAATCAAACTCACATAGAAACAAACTGGAAATTTACTTGCTGATGTAGTCACTAAGTTCAGAGATATGGCTTATTTCAGGTATTGTTTGATCCGGAGGTGCACCACGGCATCAGGCCTCCAGTTTCTTTCTTATGATATTCTTTCCTGTCTTTCCTCTTTACCCTCATCCTCATATTGCCTTCTCCTCGCACTCTGTAGCAAGCATGTTTTCAATAGTTTCAGACATTCTACTATCATACATATTGATCGTATTGTCATATTGATGAAAAAGTAGAGCACATTTGTCACAAAAGTTCCAGAACAGATCCTGAGACTGATTCTGTTACTTGCCAAACAAACATAAGCCAATAATTATACACATGAATGAAATGCATTGATCGCTTAATTTTTTTTTTTTTTTTTTTTTTATGATGGAGTCTCACACTTTTGCCCAGGCTGGAGTTCAGTGGCACGATCTTGGCTCACTGCAGCCTTTGCCTCCTGGGTTCAAGCAATTCTTCTGTCTCAGCCTCCTGAGTAGCTGGGACTACAGGCACCTGCCACCACACCCAGCTAATTTTTGTATTTTTAGGAGAGACAGGGTTTCACCATATTGTTCCGGTTGGTCTCAAACTCCTGACCTCAGGTGATCCCTCAGCCTCGGCCTTCGAAAGTGCTGGGATTACAGGCATGAGCCACCGCACCCGGTTGATTGCTTAATCTTGATTACATGTTTACACCTGGAGGAGTAAGTTGACATCCTGGTAACCACATAGACCTTCTCCAAAACTTAGAGGCTATTGGAAGAAGAAAAAGAAAGTCAGTGCTGGGAATATGAACAGAAAAGTCCACTCTTAAGAACTCCGTCTCTTGGAAAGAAAGTCTTTCTCTTTTAAGCAGCCTGATATAAAGTCCTTCTCTTCTTAAACTTAATTGTTTGCCCATGGATTGCACTCATTAGTTCATGTTTTGTCTCTGCAAATCCACAGAACAAGTTAAATCCTTGGTATACACTGAGTATGGTTGATGGATTAGGCAATTTAAGCTACTATAATAAAATATCATAGAACAGGTAGGTTATACACATCAGAAATTTGTTTCTCACAGTTCCAGAGGCTGGAAGACCAAGATTAAGACATCAGCAGAGTCTGGTGTCTTAATCTGTCTGGTGAGGGACCCATTCCTCAAAGATAGTGCCTTCTCATTGTGACCTCACATGTTGGAAGGGGTAGCTAGCTCCCTGGAGTTTCCTTTATCAGGGAATTAATCCCAGTCATGAGGGTTTTACCCAAATGACCTAATTACCTCCCCAAAGCCCCACTTCCTAATACCATTATCTCAGGGGTTAGGATTTTAGCATGTGAATTTTGAGGGGACACAGATATTTACACCACAGTAGTTGTAATTTACTAATAGGATATCTTACTCTCATAGTTTACTTTGTGAATAAACCTCCCTAGAATAGTAAAGGCTTAGCATCATGTATATTTGGTGCACTTAAATAAGAATATCCAAGGAAAATAAATGCTATATGAATATTCCACTTATGTCCTTATTTCCAAGGAAAACTAGCAATTTATGAGGTCCTATCTTGACATTACATAGAAAGAGTGTACTTACGAAATAAATATTAATCAAAATGCATTCAATATTCTCTAGCTTATGGGACAGATTATGTGACTAGGACCTTTATTTCTGGATTGGGAAAAGTAGACTTTAGCTTATTTAATGCCAGATTAATAGAGGCTCATTGGAGCAGATTAAGTCCTTGAACCTTGAGTACAATCATCTTAGGCCTTAGTTTTTCACAACAGGCAATCAGAGAAAGTGTTGTCAGTTCTCTCTTCAATTTATCGAAAGGCCTTTCCACTCTGCAAGAGTTTAGAGATGTAGCTAGATCCTTACCTCTTTCTAGGACTACAAAATGGCATCCCATTGCGGTTAATCTTTTAAGATTCCTTTATCACAGTTTAATCATTCTCTTAAAAGGGCTGTGCCTTTCTCACACGAGGTTCTGTCTCATTATTAATGGAAAGAAACTATATTTTCCTTTTCTGTGGTAGAAGAGGAATTGATCTTAAAGGAAGCAAGAAACAGAGTTAAAACTGAGGAGGCTCCTTAGAATGTTGCTATTAATTACATTGGATGTTAACCCCAGCAAAGTATTTAGAATTACACTAGTGATTTTTCTTCATCCCAAACTTGACAAATGAATTGATAGATGTGTCACAAAGAATTTCCTTCCTGGTTAACAGATGGCATGTTCCAATTAGATGTTAGAACATTTTGAATTGTGATAGGGCTACTGAAAGGAAAATCTGTGGTGTCTCAACCATAAAAAAACTACTCTAAGTTCTTTTTTTGAATAAAATGCCCTTTTTCATTCCTACTATGGGTATAACTAGCGATCAAACCTGTCCTTGCACGCACACAGAAACACATGCACACATATTTATACACACAAACTATATACTTTTAATTAAATTACTAACTCATGATAGGACAGATTCATGTATTCCATTATATAAAACATGGCATTTACCAAGAACAACATTGAAAAATTAAATCATTTAATGACTTATCAGGGAAGGAAGAAACAGTACAAAGGTGAGTTCTAGGTGTCTAAACTATCATCATTGGAAACATAAATGGACACCAAGACGACAACTTAACTTTTAAAAATTGTTAGTTCAACTCAGAATAGGCTGTTAATGGCATTGAGTTGGCAGTTTATTGTAATTAGATTAGAATACGCCTGTTTTTAAAAAGTATATAGCTGTAATTTTTGTATTGTCTATTTTAAAATATTCATTTTTAAAAGACTAGTTAAGATTATTCTATCTTTATTGAATGAATAATTAAGGCAGATATTAAAGTTCCAGAGTCCTAAAAATGGTCTTTATTATTTCTTCCTAATAGGAACAGTGAAATATATATCGTAATGAAATAAATGTGTCAGACTCCTGACGAAATAACATTCTTTACATTTGTGAGTGCTTAAGACTCAGAATACACAATTTAGACACTTTACAACCACAAATCAGCATTTTGTCTAACAACATGAATTAAAAGGTGTTTACAAGAAACTGTTTTCAATATAGTGAAACTAAAGGTACACTACTGTGATTTTTAGCTAGCTAAAACAGAAAATAACTTCTCCTGTGAACTTAGTGTTATGAGTTGAATAATGTCCTACAAACAGACATATTGATGTCCTAATATCTAGTGCCTCAGAATATAATCATATTTGTAAATAAGGTAGTTGCAGATGTAATTAGTTAAGATGAGGTCATACTGGAACAGGATGAGCCCTTAATCCAATATGAATTGTCTCCTTATAAGACAATGTGAAGACATAGAGGGAGAATGTGATGACAGAGATTGGAATTTTAAAGCTGCAAGCTGACAAACTTCTTGGATTTTTGGTTACACCAGAGCTAGGAGAAAGGCATGAAAGAGAGTCTTTCCTAGACCCTGCAACAGAGTATGGCCCTTGCCACAGAGTTTATAGTAATTTGTTATGGCAGCCCTAGGAAACTAATGCAGATTTTAAAGCAATGGAAATTTGTCCTTGAGATTTGAATTCCAAAATCAAGTTCTCAATGGGGTCATCCTTTCTCCAAACCCTTTACAGAAGGGTCCTCCTTTTCCCCTTCCAGCTTCTGGTAGCCCAGACATTTCTTGGATTTGGCATCATAACTCCAATCTCTGCCTCCATCTTCACGTAGTTATCTTTCCTCTTTGTCTTTGTGTATTCATATGGTGTTCCCCCTGTGTCTGTTCTCATATGAGGACACCAGTTACATTACATTAGGGCCCACCTTAGTTGAATATAAGCTTATTATAGTTTAATTCTATCTACAAAGACTACTTGCAGGGAAGCTCATATTCACAGATTCCTAGGGTAGGACTTTGACATATATTTTTGTGGGCCAAAATTCAATCCATAACACATAAACAAAGAAAGGTAAGGTTAAAATAGAATTTTAGTATGTTAACTTTTAGTTATCCATCTAATTTAACTGTATGCTCTTCACCACCTTCTTTAGATGGTAGCACAGTATAGAACCTAAATCATATTTCATAAAATATAAGATTAAATTGCTATTGAAGCATAAGTTTATTTACCATTTGAAAGATAAAAAAGAGACACTGCCAATTAAACTTTGATACAGTGTTTTCCCAGAATTTAAGTTCTATATTTATTAAAGCCTTTGTCTAGATTTAAGTAGTCATCATTTTTTATACATTACCTTTGAATAACATCAAAGGAAAATAAAAACAAAATAATTGGTTACACAATTCTAAAACTTCTATACTCCCAGCACCTTATTTATTTGAATTAACTAAAGATTCAAATGCTTATTTTTTATATTTTTTTCACACAAAATAATTTTCTGGTTATCAAAAGTATTGGCAAGACAGCATCACTAACCTATTTCAGGACTTCTACTATACATCGGATCACCATCTCCCTTCCTATTTCCACAGCCCCATTTAATGCCTGGCGTGACTCTGCAATTATCTTTCAATCCAGTGATAAGTATTCTTAAGTTTAATGCTGATACTGTCTGATGGCCAGGAATTCATGGAAAGTAACAACTACAATAGCAATTTTAAGACACCATCACATGAAGGAGGCATTCCAATTTCAGAGACTTTAGAAAGTGAAAATAAGAGTGTTCCTATGAAACAAAGAAATTAGGTTTATTAACATATATAGTGACCAAAAAAATCAGCATTTCAAGCAGTAATCTATTATTCAGATAATTATTCCACTTAGAAACTTTCCCAAATATTTAAACTTTGACCTGGTAGCTTTAATTTTTTTTTCTAATTCTGCAGCTTGCTATCTCACCAAAGCCACTTAATAGATTTTCTAAGATAAAGCCCTCCAAATATTTTAAACAACGTACTCAATGTCTACCCATCTACTCCCAAGAGTCTTCTGTCTGCTTAAGCATACTCATTTATTCAAAAACATTCATTGCATCATTTATTAAACAAGTACTTACTGAATGGGTCATACATTACAGGTACCATTTTAAACGTTGGGGAAGCAAGTCTTGACACAAGTGTGCCAGTGTGTGCACATGCATACAAGCATGCAAGTAAGTGCTTACATGCACCTTTGCATCTCTTTGGAAGAACTGAGTTGACTGGTTATACTGATGATAGGGTTAGAAGGGATGGAAAGTTAAGGAAGAGAGAGGACCAAGTTTAAAGTTCCTAAGACATGAAAATGTTTGGTGTTGTAGAAAACCAGATAGAAGGTCTATAGCACATTCTCACAAATTAGGATTTAATTCTAGACCAATAGGATGCCAGCCACTATCGATAGATGTTAAGTATGTGACGTAACTTTAAATCAACTGCCTGTCCTGTCTTTATCCTGTAAAAGCTCTGTAACAGTGAAACAGTGAAAGAACTAACCATTATGTTACCTCCATTTTGGTTAATCGGCCTTTACCTATTCCTGCATGTAGGCTAGGGTAGTTTTAGAGAACTGAGATGATATGCAAAAACAGCAATCTTGTAGTTTTTAAAACTCACTCTGGGATTAAAGGGAAATTAGGTAAGCAACTAACTATGTTTTGTTAAAGATTTATAGGAGCATTGTGATCTGACCAAGGACAAAAGATTTCCCAATCTTTTCAGATGCTTGCTGGTGCCCAGATGTGGGCAGTTGTTAGTCATCTCTTGACTGCAACTCTCTCTTCTTCCTCCTGCCCTTAACATAAAAAGAGCCTGAAATGTATATTGACCTAAGATGATATTGTAGGATGCTAGTTCACCACCTTCTCATTTTTCCGGCTGTCTGAATAAAACTGCTTGTCTTCCCACCAACTCTTATCTCTTGTGCTTGGCTTTGAAGTGGCAAATCACAGAACCTAGGTTCAATTACAATTTAATGGCATACAACGTGGGACTGTGTGGCTTGCGTTTTCCAGCCTGCTGTGTTTCCAAGGGACCAAGCAATTGACCACAGCAGCGTGCCCGGGCTTAACCATTCATGCTATGGGGCAAATCAAAAACCATTCATGAGTGCCTGCTGCTCATGACTAGGGACATATCGGCAGCTGTTAAGAACATTTTGCCTTAGGAATTCTCCCTTCCTTCCCCTTCGTGTCATCACTGACTGCAATGCCTTGTTGGTATAAGGAAATGCGGTGTCTGGTGGAGTCCACAGGCTCCAAGACTGGGTAAATGACTCTAGTATGCACAACTGGCAAGCGTCTTTCCTTCCACTTAGGCTTTTCCTTAGAATAAACTACTCCGTGTATTTGATTGGGGTACCTTGTTGCAGAAAGGAATAGTTGTTGGACTATTACCTAATTTGAGAATTGGTCGTTTGCATTTATGTCGGTTGCTTTTGTGGGACCTGGACTTACATGTTTAAAAACATGGGCAAGTTTAAAGGCACGTTTAAATGTCAGGTTTTCTGGGACTCCAACTAGTTACATATTATGGCCTACTTTTATACACATTTAAAAACTAATGGACAAATTATAGTAAGAAACATTCAGGGCTCAAATAGTTAATCTGCAATTATAGTTAAGTAGAGTGTTCCAAATATCTCTATTTCTCTTTTCTTTTCTGCCTACTTTAAATCCACTGTTACGGAGCTACTAGTGTGGAGATAAACCTCAGTAATTCAATGTTACTTGAAAATTTTGTTTTTCTTATATAGTTCATCCAGTTCTAGCTAATATATAAACATTAAAAACTAAAACTAAAAAAAAAACTAAAACTAAAAAAAAAAAGTAAAAGAGGGTTTAAAATCAAACTGCCATGGAAACTATTTTACCCAAAATTTTAGTCGACAGTCTTCACTTGATTACCTATAATGGCAAAATACGTTTAGACATATAAACAAGTCCCAGTTTTGTCAGAAATACCATTTGGATCCAGCTATCTCATGTAAACCTGTGAGTTCCTATCTCATGGCTAGAGTTCCAAGGGGAAAAAAAATTAAAGTTCTTATTTGGGTGTGTGTATATGCGTTTAGGTATGTTTACATTATATATATATGTATTATTTTATTTCCTGTATCTACATAGTAATAAATTGACATACAAATAAGAGAGCACATACAAATTAAGTAAATAAGTCCAAATGTTTTTCAAATTCACAAGACTTTAGTGAATCCTTAATAAATAAGATGTTTTTAAAATTATTGGTAAAATAAAAATTTAGAAAATATATTCAAAATTGTTAGCACACATTTTTGTGTGTTAAGTATTATATTTGCCTCTGCTAGATATTTCAAGGAGTCAAGGTTTGGCACAAAGATTACAAGATTGTAAACCCAGCCAAAACCAGAATAATCTTTGTGTGATCCTTTTGACAAGTAAGAATAATTTAAAATTGTGGTTCAGTGAAAACAACTGAATCTTCTGAGTTACTGGCAAAATGCCTGTGTGTTTAACTTAAAGTTCTTAGGGAAACAATTGATGATCATAGGCTTTTAAAATGGTTAACAGAGAAATACCTTTAAATAATGGCTAGCTTTGTCTAATATCTCAGTTTTCAGAGAAATTCTAGGGAAACTATTCAAAAAATTGAGTATATGTAAATGGGATCAATGCTTATAGGTAACTTTTTGTATAATTTAAGATCTTAAAGTTATTTTGAATTGAATAATAAATGCTCATTGTATGTCTGGGTCATTTCCAATTAAAAAAGGGTTATAAAGTTGAGAAACATGTTTTTAAAAATTGTGGCATTGTTTTATCTATAAAATGCTACCATCTCATAAACACTTCAGAATTTCTTCCTAGGTTTTTATCAACAGTTAAGATTACTAAGAATAATAATTCTAATTAAAACATAAATTCTGTAAGTTATGTTCTTATTGAGAAAAAGAATAATGGTATGTAATTTGAAAGTTATATAAAAGTTATTTGAAAAATAAGGTAAAAGGGGGCTGGGCACGGTGGCTCACGCCTGTAATCCCAGCACTTTGGGAGGCCAAGGCGGGTGGATCATGAGGTCAGCAGATCCAGACCATCCTGACTAACACGGTGAAACCCCGTCTCTACTAAAAATACAAAAAATTAGCCGGGCGTGGTGGCAGGCGCCTGTAGTCCCAGCTACTCAGGAGGCTGAGGCAGGAGAATGGCGTGAACCTGGAAGGCAGAGCTTGCAGTGGGCCGAGATCGCGCCACTGCACTCCAGACTGGGCAAAAGAGTGAGACTCCATCTCAAAAAAAAAAAAAAAAAAAAAAAAGAAAAGAAAAGAAAAGAAAAATAAGGTAAAAGTGAACCAGAAAGTAGGAAAGTGAGATGTGAAAAGAGCTGCAGCAATAAAGATGTAGTTTTGGTAAGAAAGGTTATAAAGAAAAGAGAATAATTTTGTATGAAAGGGAATCTTGTATGGTAAATTTTTCTGCTAAATAAAACGACTAGTTATTTTAAAAAGAGGAAACATAGGATGAATCAAAAACATCCAACCAAGTTGTAGTTAGTCTTTATAAGTCATATTATGGTTCGTGGAAGGTATTTTATGAAAGAAATGTTGTATATGATTAAGCTGCTTATAATTAAAGGGAAATTATTTATGATAGTATTATTATATTGTAATATGTTAAAACAAGGTTTCTTAAGGTATTGATTTACTTTTAACAAAATTATAAGAAATTTTAATTTTTAATTTTGTAACTTAATTCTTTTGAAAACTTCTCAGATTCATTATCTCAGTAGTTCAACTTTTGTGTGTCTCTTTGCTTTCAGCTTTTTTGCCCCTTCAGAAAACCTAAGATTATAACTGTTTTCTTCAACATTTTTGTCAGTTCCTGCAACTTTTTTCCCTCTGGTCCTAACTATTGTTGTGGCCTGATGCTGAAATATTTTATCCTGAAGAACTAGAAAAATCAATGTTTTCCTCCATTATAACTTGATTCTATACTCTTGCTTTTGTTAGTATGTCTAAAGTTTTCAATCTAATCAGAAAACTCATGCAGTTACAAAGAGTCACGTATTTCCCTGCGATACTCATAACCTTAAACACACTTTTCCTATACCTGATTAAATTTGAGTACTCATTTCATCAGGTTTGACTTCTATGTTATCTAAATAGGCTTCTCGTAAGTAGAAGCACTCACACTGCAGAAAGTTTTCTATTGCCTTTTTGATAACCAGCTTAAAAAACAAGATTTTACATTTTACCAAGATAATTACTACGTTGTCTTTATTAGGTTTTTGATTACTTAGGAAAACTGAGATTTAAAATGTTTATGGTTTTTACATTCATGTAAATATCCGCATGGCCTTTAAGATCTTTTAACTATAACTTAGCTAAATGAATGACTATTGTTTTACAATAACCTATGATTCTGTTGTAATTAAATGTTTTCGGCCTTTTAATATCTTTGATTAACATCTTCAAAACCAAAATTCTAAACTAAGCCTTTGACTTATTACAAAGCTATAAAAATTAATCACTGCAAGGTTGTAGACTATTTTTATAACTTCCAGTCAGGACGTGGACTCCAGTATCACTACCTCCAGCCCCTTGAAAGGGTCTGTATCAGGTGCTATTAACGAATCCTGTGCTGTTAAGTTACAGGGTTTTGACTTCTGGGTATATCCATCTCATCTAAAAAGGCACAGACTGCTGCTAAATCTTGAATGTCACCACCAAAATTAACCAAAGCTGCATCTTCAGGCCCAGGAAAGAGTGACAATCAAAATAAACTGCTTTAATGAGACACAGGGGCAGAACTATATGTAAAAACATGAATACCTGTTTAATAATTTTGCTTCTATCTAAATTCTTTATGCTAAAAAAATGAAATGTTTAGCTACCTGTTAGCTTTCTTTTCCTGTCTTATCAAAACAAGGCAGGGCTTATGACCTTTTTGTTTAAAATGTTGCCAATTCTTTGTGGTTTTTGCATTCTACAATCAAGAAAACAGTTTTTTTTCTTTTTGAACTATTTATAGCTTACAGAAATTGAATAAAACAACAAAGATTGCCTTTCTCTTTCTACCTAATATCTTCAGAATTTTAAAACTGTTCAATTCTACTGGGCTAATCTGTTTTATATTGCCAACATGCTGCTGTTAAAGCTACACAATATTAATCACCCTCCTTTTAATCCCAGGGACAATCTCAGAAGAGGTGGGTGCATGAGATTGCAAGGGCCAGTTTTGTGGGATAAAATTAGTTCAGACACTCCAAATCAAATATGGGCACATAGGTGCCTAAACAGCCGATGGCTCAACACATAGAACTAAGTCAATTTTATAATCTTGCTTTTTGGCTTTTGGTTTTTGGCTCTTATGTTAGTTTAAAACGTTCTAAGGATTAATGAGCACCTAGCCACCTCCATTCCCATTTGGATTAGAATGATTCATTGTCTATCAGTCTTTTGACTCTAAGTCAGTTAGCAATAGGAGTTCCAACAGTGGATGGGATGGACCAGGGCAATGATATGGGACAAATTAAAGGTTGGTCATTGATATTGCCTCTGGCATATGCTGACAAAAAACAGGGAAGATATAAACTAAAAAAATAAAATCCTAAGACCCCACAGATGAAATGGGCCCCTCACTTTTCCAAAGAAAAATGAAACCTTAAAAACTTAATTCCCAGTTATGTCAGGCATGGTGACTCACACTTGTAATCCTAACACTTTGGGAGACTGAGGTGGGTGGATCACTTGAGGCCAGGAGTTTAAGACAAGCCTGGCCAACATGATGAGATCTTGTCTCTACTAAAAATACAAAACTTTGCTGAGCATTGGTGGCACATGCCTATGGTCCCAGCTACTTGGGAGACTGAGGCACAAGAATTGCTTGAAGCCAGGAGGCGGAGGTTGCAGTGAGCTGAGATCACAACATTGCACTCCAGCCTAGGAAACAGAGAGAGACACTGTCTCAAAAACTAAAACAAAAACAACAACAAAACAAACAAACAAACAAACTTTGATCTCATCCATGATGGGGTGGGAGGTTAGACATGCCTTATTCTTCTCGTTCCCTTCTATGGTTTAGGCACAGCAACTGACCAGCATTATTGTTAAAATAGAGATTATAAGACTGACAGAACAGACTTTTTATGACAATAAGATAGCAAATTATAAACAAAACCTAAGTCCACACAGGCAAGGGTTAAGTCACACACCCCTACACTTAAATAATAAACTATGTTCTAACAGTCAGGAGGTTTTTCTTTTTTCTCTAGCAGGTACACAAGCATTGGCTTCATATTAAGCAACATTAAAACAATTTTCAGCTTCACCAGATCCTGACTAACTGACCCCAAGCCCCTCCCTGTTCCACCAGTGAAAAACTACAGCTTTCAGTAAATAAGAGATGGATTACAGTAACTTTCTCCTAATATAAAGACCACTGACCATAAACTAGTTCAAAGTGGCTTATAGAAATTTTGCATTTGTGTGCCTTTGTGTCTTATATATATGGCTGAATTGTAATACATATAAACGTTAAGTCTCCAAGGTGAATATGGGTTGCATGTTATATACATGCTTGTTCAGTATGTATGTGTCAAGATTACTTTTATAAATATTCATAGCTTCTCCTATAACCTATTAAATATATATGTTTAGTCAACCTGTCATCATATTCCCACAGGAGCCCTTGGTGTATAATTGACAGTAAGGATATTAGTCTGTTCTCACACTGCTAATAAAGACATACCTGAGACTGGTAATTTATAAAGAAAATGAGGGTTAATGGGCCCATAGTTCCAAATAGCTGGGGAGGCCTCAAAATCACTGCAGAAGGCAAAGGAGGAGCAAAGACATGTCTTACATGACAGCAGGCAAGAGTTTGTGCAAGGGAATCCCCATTTATAAAACCATCAGATCTCGTGAGACTTATTCACTACCATGAGAACAGTATGGGGCAAACTCCCCATGATTCAATTATCTCCACCTGGACCCACCCTTGACATGTGGGGATTATTATAACTCAAGGTAAGATCTGGGTGGGGACATATCCAAACTGTATCATTTGGCCCTGGCTCCTCTCAAATCTTATGTCCTCACATTTCAAAACCAATCATGCCTTCCCAACAGTCCCCCAAGTCTTAAGTCATTCCAGCATTAACAGTCTGAAGTCTCATCTGAGACAATGAAAGTCCATTAAGCCTATGAGCCTGTAAAATCAAAACCAAGTTATTCACTTCCTAGATACAATGGAGATACAGGAATTGGGTAAATACACCCATTCCAAATGGGATAAATTGGCCAAAACAAAGAAACTACAGGCCCCATGCAAGTCTGCAATCCAATGGGGCAGTCAAATCTTTTTTTTTTTTTTTTTTTTTTAGATGGAGTCTCACTCTGTCACCCAGCCTGGAGTGCAGTGGTACCATCTTGACTCACGGCAAGCTCCATCTCCTGGGTTCACTCCATTCTCCTGCCTCAGCCTCCCGAGTAGCTGGGACTACAGGTGCCTGCCACCACGCCTGGCTAATTTTTTGTATTTTTAGTAGAGATCAGGTTTCACCTGTTAGCCATGTTAGCCAGGATGATCTTGATTTCCTGACCTTGTGATCTGCCTGCCTCGGCCTCGCAAAGTGCTGGGATTGCAGGCATGAGCCACCACGCCCGGCCAGGGCAGTCAACTCTTGAAGCTCTAAAATTATTTCCTTTGACTCCATGTCTCATATCCAGGTCATTCTGATGCAAGAGGGGTCTCCCATAGCCTTGGGCATCTCCACTTGGGTGGCCTTTACAAGGTACGGCCACCCTCTCAGATGCTTTCATGGGCTGGTGTTGAGCATCTGTGGCTTTTCCGGGTGCACAGTGCAAGCTGTCAGTGGATCCATAATTCTGGGGTCTGGAAGATGGTGGCCCTCTTCTCACCGCTCCACTAGGCAGTGCCCCAGTGGGGACTATATGTAGGGGCTCTGAACCCACATTTCCTTCTGCACTGCCCTAGCAGAGGTTCTCCATGAGGGCTCAACCCCTGCAGCAGACTTCTGCCTTGACATCCAGGTGTTTCTGTACATCCTCTGAAATCTAGGCAGAGGTTCCCGAACCTCAAATCTTGACTTCTGTGCACCTGAACTGCAGGCCCAACACCTGTGTAAGCCTCCAAGGCTTGGGGCTTACATCCTCTGAAGCAATAGCCTGAGGTCTACAATGGCCCCTTTTAACCACCCCTGACATACAGGGCACCAAGTCCCAAGGAGGCACAAAGCAGCAAGGCCCTGGACCCAGTCCACAAAATCATTTTTTTCTCCTAGGTCTCCAGGCCTGTGATGGGAGAGACTGCCATGAAGACCTCCGACATGACCCAGAGACATTTTCCCCATTGTCTTGGAGATTAAGAGTTTGCTTGTCACTATTTATGCAAATTTCTACAGCCAGCTTGAATTTCTCCTCAGAAAGTGGGGTTTTCTTTTCTATCACATCACCAGGCTACAAATTTTTCTGAACTTTTATGCTCTGCTTCCCTTTTAAACATAAGTTCCAATTCCCAAGCATATCTTTGTGAATACAGAAAACTAAATGCTCTTAACAGCACCTAAGTCACCTCTTGAATGCTTTGCTGCTTAGAAATTTCTTCTGCCAGATGCCCTAAATTTTCTCCCTCAAGTTCAAAGTTCCATAAATCTCTGGGGCAGGGGCAAAATGCTGCCAGTTTCTTTAATAAAACATTGAAGAGTTACCTTTACTCCAGTTCCCAACAAGTTCCTAATCTCCATCTGAGACCACCTCAGCCTGGATTTTGTTGCCCATATCGCTATCAGTATTTTGGTCAAAACCATTCAACGAGTCTCTAGGAAGTTTCAAACTTTCCCACATCTTCCTATCTTCTTCTGAACCCTTCAAACCATTCCAACCTCTGCCCATTACCCAGTTTAAAAGTCTCTTTCACAAGGGTATCCTTATAGCAGCATTCCACTCTACTCTATTAACTTACTGTATTAGTCTGTTCTGATGCTCCTAATAAAGACATACCTGAGACTGGATAATTTATACAGGAAAGGGATTTAATGGACTCAAAGTTCCACATGGCTAGGGAGGCCTCAGAATCATGGCAGAAGGCAAAGGAGAAGCAAAGGCACATCTTACATGGTAGCAGGCATGTGCAGGGGAACTCACATTTATAAAACCATCAAATCTCATGAGACTTATTCACTACCATGAGAACAGCATGGGGGAACTGCTCCTATGATTCAATTATCTCCACCTGGCCCCACCCTTGACATGTGGGGATTACTATAATTCAAGGTGAGATTTGAGTGGGGACACAGCCAAACCATATCAGGGGGAAACAAACTTATTGACTTTCTTATTGACATAGGTGCTATGTATTCTGTAGTTAATGCCTGCCTATACCCTTATTTGATAAAGACTATAATAGATACAGGAATGCCAGGGAAAACTGTGACTTACTTCTTTCCACAATCTTTAGATTGTCATTTTGGAGAACACAATTGATGAAAAAAACTGGTAAGTCATGTCCTAAAAAAAAGGTATTGTCCAAATACGTCAAGAAACTAATCTGACTTGGGATAAGGTGTTTCCAGTTGCTCTGTTGTGTATTAGAACAGCTCTCCAAAATAGGCTCAAATTGAGTCTCTTTGAAATATTATATGGTAGGTCATTCCAGGATTCTACCCTGGTGGGAAAACCAACTGAGGTGTTAAGAAAGTTAACAATTGCCAAATATGTTAAGACACAGGGCACTATACTAACTTCTGTTCGTGTTTGCTTCTTGCAAGACCACTCATCCCATAGATGTGGCCCTACATCCTTTTTGACTTGGAAATTGAGTCTTCATAAACATTTAGAAAAAAACAAGAATCTGGCATCCAGTTGGTATTCAGGTCCTTGATTTCATTCCACAGTTGCCCCCTATTGATTTTTTGAAGCAGGAAGTAGGCAGATGAAAGACGACATCCCATTTCCAAGGTACCACAAGATAGTGAAATGAGCCTTTGGACAGTGGGGAATTGTAAAAGTGAACTTGCAAAGGAACTAGCAAAACTAACTCCATTTTTAAGGGTCCCTTGCCCATTCCTGCACATAGGCTAGTATAATTTCAGAACACTGAGATAATATGCAAAAACAGCAGTCATGTAGTTTTTAATATAAACTCTAGGATTAAAGAGAAAGTATGCAAGCAACTCACTTTTTTTTTTAAAGATTTACAGGAGCGTTGTAACCTGACCAAGGACAAAGAAGTTCCTAATCTCAGATCCTCACGGGTGCTCAGATGTGTGTGGTCATTGATCACCTCTTGATTACAACCTCTTTCTCTTCCCCTCCCCTTAACAAAAAACGAGCCTGAAATTTGTACTGACTTAAGAAGCTATGTTAGTACACTAGTCCGCCATTTTCATGGTTTGAGGAATAAACCTGCTTTTCCTTCCACCAACTCTCATCTCTTGTGCTTGGCTTTCAAGTGGCGAGCAGCCAAATCTGGGTTAGGTTACACTTAGATCCTCCTTTGCATCTCTTCAGAAACACTGAGGTGGCTGCTTGAACTGATTATAGGGTGAGAAGGGATGGAACGTTCAGGGAGAGAAAGGAGCAAGTTTAAATTTTCTGAGACACAAAGGTGCTTGTTGTGCTTGAAAACCAGAGAGAAGGCATTGTGGCACATGCTTACAATTTAGAATTTAATTCTAAGACCAGTGGGATGCCAACCATTATTGATGGGTGTTAAGTATGTGACACAGCTTTAAATCACCTGCCTGCCCTGTCTTTATCCTGTGAAAGCTCTTGAATTGTCAATGATCTTTTTTTAAATGTAACATTCCAAATATCAGTGCAGTACTGCCAGGTTTTTTCTGGGCATAGCAACACAGAATGTGATTCTCATCATCTTACATTTACAATGTTGAAATTGTGAGATAAATCTTTTCCTATTTAATTTTTTGTAGTTTGCCATAGTAGATACTTAAGATAATTTTGGATTCTGATTCTTTCATGTGTTGAAACCCAAACAGTCAATTTCTCCCATCAGCTTCTTACTACCTGCTGATGTTTCTCATTGACATTTTAAATCATTGATTACAAAAAAAAAAACTTGAATGAGATATTTTTAAGGACAAGTTCTAGAGATGTCACTTTAAAGTTGCCAGTGTACTAACATTGATCAATAATTGAATAATTTTTTGGCAAGGCCATTCAAAAAGTTGAAAATTCATCAATTTATACTACAGCAAAGTCACTTCCTTTCACCTCTTTTTCAAAGACATCATAAGGACAATTGATGGATTTTACCACATTGTATAATTATGTTAATTTATTTTAATACTCTTTTATGTCTTCTTTACTAAGATGTGAATCTAATAAACATTTTTTAAACTTTATGATATAACTAATTCTGGGGGAGAAATGTACCATCGCGGGGAACATCTTCAAAGGAAGCTTCCTTAAAATTGAGTTATTCCTTCTGATAGTCTAGAACTGAATTCTTTACTTGTGACAGTCACAAAGATATGCTACTCAAATCTCTTCATGAGATCTTTCTGTAAGGAATCAGCCTGCAGGCTGAGACAAGTGTTTCCCAAACACTGAGGTCATGTTCCTCAGCCATTAACTAATCATTAGCAGGGTCTAGAACTTTACTGTTTTTGCTTAGCAAAGGACTTGGGAAATCTTTGTTTGAGTGTTCCCTATCATTATGCCCCAAATGTTCTCAGAGCTAGACTACACTCTGAGGCTCCTTCTATATAAACTTCTCTCTTTCCATCATTTCTTTAACAGGTTTCAGCCCTGCATTGAGGCCTGAAGTTTCTCTCTGACTACTAATTGCTTGCCTACATTTATCTTTCACAAAGAATTCCTTATAAAAGTTATCTTTCACATCAAATTCTATCCTGCTGTGTGCAAGATAGAACTCAGACTGATACAGGTAACTTCTAAAAGCCTATCACAATTTAGACTACCATACCTCCCAGATATGCTTACTCAAATCATTGCTAGAAGGGTAAGCCTCTCCTACATTCAACTGTCTTTCAGACATTTACTCCCATTCTTTCCTCTTAATGTGACCAAATAATTCAGATAATTCCCCCACACATTCCCTTTCTTCAAAGCCCTTCCATTGTGTCCTCTGGATTCCCTAAAAGGTGATGATACAATTTTCCTACATTGCAACTGCTTCTCAAATATTTATATCATCTCTTTTACTGAAATGCAGCTGCTGTCAGACAGCACTGCTTTCTCTACTGGCACCTGAAGTGCTGGCTAATTTTTTACATAAATTGATAGGGCAATTATATATATTGTTCACCACTTAAATTTTAGAACACCAACTTTCTACCCCCTTGAAAAAATCCTACTTGCCTGATATTTGCAACAATCAGAGATACCCAGCTTCTCCCTTCCTTCTCTACAGACTCCCTGGTGTCATCCTTTGGCTTCAGTGAGTAACCCTACTGATTCAAATAAACTTCAGTTTTTAAAATGGTTCAAACTGGTTCATAGTTTTTCTTTCTCTTTGAGCTCCTGTAATTATCAGTGGAGCCATAGTTATCTGTCTCAATCGATTTTGTATTGCTATAAGGGAATACCTGAGGCTGAGTACCTTCTAAAGAAGGGCTTATTTTGTTCATGATTCTGATGGCTAAAAAGTTCCAGATTGGGTATCTGGATCTGGTGAGGGCCTCAGGCTTCATCCACTCATTGGGAAACATGAAGGGGAGCTGGCTTGTACACAGGTCACATGGAGAGAAAGCGAGAGAGAGGGAAGAGCAATATATCAGGCTTTGTAACAACCAGCTCTTGGCAGGAATGAATATAGTAGAACTCACTCAATACCCCCCATGGAAGGCATTACTATACTCAGGAGGGATCCACCTCCATGACCCAGACAGCTCCCATTAAGTCTCACCTCCAACAGTAGATATAAAATTTGAACATGAGGTTTGGCAGAGACAAACCTTCAAACCACAGCAACATCTTTGTAAATGATCTCACCAATACTCTGGTCTCAGGTTATTCACCTCTTTATCATTAATCATCAATGACCTTCTCTCCTCCTCTTCCCCAATCATCGTATGTCATAGTCAATTCCAATGACACTTTTTAGGATTTATTAGCACCAAATTCTAAGTATTGTCAAATTATTGAATGTATGCCTTCTATTCTGGCACCATAATTCCCTGTCTTTTCTCTCTACTTACTCAAGTAACTCCACTTAAATATTTTTGAACACGTAATGACCTTCACATTATGTTACTGATTTATATCTATCAAGAAATGCCTATCTTCACTTTTCATTTTATCCACGTTAATCTGCGATTCATCATTTTGACCGCAACCTAATAACATAACCTGGCAGACTGGATTTACTTTAAAATTATAATTCCATGTTTCAAACAAACACTCAACACAACTTGGCAATCCCAGTGCCATGTTTCTTAAGAAAATTTACATTTCATACCAGACTCTCCCAATTTCTACTCTCCATCTTTATATCAAATGATGACATTAATGTATATTTTGATTAGATTAAAATATATGACAGACACATCATTAGCTTTCCTTTCTTAATTAAAGTATTGACTTTGCCAATCTTTACCTTTATCCATCTGATATGGTTTGGCTCTGTATTCCCACCCAAATCTCATGGTGAATTTTAATTCCCAGTGTTGGGGGAAGGCCTGCTGGGAGGTGATTGAATCATGGGGGTGGATTTCCCCCTTGCTGTTCTTATGACAGTGAGTGAATTATCAGGAGATCTGATGGTTTAAAAGTGTATAGCACTTCCTCCTTCACTCTCTGTCTCTCCTGCTCTGCCATAGTAAGATACGCTTTCTTCCACTTTGCCTTCTGCCCTGATTGTAAGTTTCCTGAGGCCTCTCAGCCATGCTTCCTGTATAGCCTGTGGAACTTTGAGTCAATTTTACCTCCTTTCTTCACATATTGCCCAGTATCAGGTAATTCTTTATAACAGTGTGAGAATGGACTAACACATCCTCCTTTCATATCTAAGGATGTATTTCTTCAGTCAAAGACCACTTGCTCAATCTACACTCTTTATCTCATTCCCTCTTGCCTTTTTAAATATTTTTTAATTTTTTTTTTTTTTTGAGACAGAGTCTCACTCTGTCACCCAGGCTGGAGTGCAGTGGCGTGATCTCGGCTCACTGCAAGCTCTGCCTCCCCGGTTCATGCCATTTTCCTGCCGCA
This sequence comes from Homo sapiens, assembly GCF_000001405.40. Classification (NCBI taxonomy): domain Eukaryota; kingdom Metazoa; phylum Chordata; class Mammalia; order Primates; family Hominidae; genus Homo; species Homo sapiens. Next base: position 39,291,938 of record NC_000011.10, read on the forward strand.
GCCTCCAGAGTAGCTGGGACCACAGGCGTCTGCCACCATGCCGGGCTAATTTTTTGTATTTTTAGTAGAGAGACGGGGTTTCACCATGTTAGCCAGGATGGTCTCGATCTGCTGACCTCGTGATCCACCTGTCTCGGTCTCCCAAAGTGCTGGGATTACAGGCATGAGGCACCGCGCCCGGCCAGTATTTTTGAATCTTAACTGGTTTTTGTTTGTTTGTTTTGAGATGTAGTCTTGCTCTGTCACCCAGGCTGGAATGCAGTGGAACAATCTTGGCTCACTGCAACATCTGCCTCCTGGGTTCAAGAAATTCTCCTGCCTCAGCCTCCCGAGTAGCTGGGACTACAGGCATGTGCCACCATGCCTGGCTAATTTTTTATTATTAGTAGAGATGGGGTTTCTCCATGTTGGTCAAGTTGGGCTCGAACTGCCTACCTCAAGTTATCCGCTCGCCTTGGCCTCCCAAAATGCTGGGATTACCGGTGTGAGCCACCATGCACAGTCGAATCTTAAATTTATTAATATCTATTAGTCTCTCTATCCTTTAAAATATATTTTTTTTTTTTTTTGAGACGGAGTCTCGCTCTGTCACCCAGGCTGGAGTGCAGTGGCGGGATCTCGGCTCACTGCAAGCTCCGCCTCCCGGTTCACGCCATTCTCCTGCCTCAGCCTCCCAAGTAGCTGGGACTACAGGCGCCCGCCACTACGCCCGGCTAATTTTTTTGTATTTTTAGTAGAGACGGGGTTTCACCGTTTTAGCCGGGATGGTCTCGATCTCCTGACCTCGTGATCCGCCCGCCTCGGCCTCCCAAAGTGCTGGGATTACAGGCGTGAGCCAAAGCGCTCGGCCTAAAATATTTTAATCAGCACAGAAATGTATGTTAATGTCTGTCATTCTAAAAGCAAAACAATGAAAGAAAATCATTATTTGGTAAATACTTGCTTCCCGTTACTATCCAAGTTTTCTACTTTCCTTTAGTGTTAAAGTTTTCAAGAGTTTTATACATACTCTGTACAAAATCCCATACCCCACTTACTTCTTGACAAGCTGCAGGGAAGCTTATACTCCCACAAATATAATGAAATAGCTTTTCATTTTACCAATGACTTCTAGGTTTTTAAAGTCAGGTAGTGAGGCAGGAATATTGGGTACATAAGCAAGTATAGTGGCAGACCTATCTGATTCTTCTTCTGAATGAAATGAAGTTCTTACTTTCCATACCCTAATGTCATAGATGCCAAGTTTAGTGAGGTGGCAGCTATAGTATTTCAGGATGAGTCTGGGCATTTTATCTGGCTAATTTCTTTAGGGATGTTACACAACCACGCTCAATTCTGTTATCTTCCCAAAGACACTGTAAACTACATAATGTTTTTAAATAAATATCTTTTGGCTTAAACTAACTAGAGAAAATTTACTTGTCTTCAACTGAGAGCCCTTAGTATTAGAGTTTTCAAGATATTACACTCTCCTGAGTGCTTTCTTATAACTGTAGTCATGTTTGGTCTCCTTCCAAATCTCTTTCTTCTCCCTCACCAGAACTATAAATGCTAGAACTCCTCATGGTGTTTTTATGATTTTTCTTTTTCCTATAGGAAAATCATTATTTTTGTAGGTTATTTTGGCCCTTAATATGCCCTTATATTCATTCTCCATATGGTCTGAACATTTAAATAAAACTCCTCTGAGCTCCAATTTGATGTAACAGAATACTGTTTCAGAATTTCCCTGAAGCCCTAAATTTAAGAAAAATAGCCAATAATTATCTCCATATATCAGAAATATGCTAGATAATATTCTGCAACCATAAGTTTCATGACATAATGCCAGACTATTTAATAGATACTATACTAATTACTATATTAGTCTAGTATATATATAGTAATTAATATACTATATTGAATAGATTAAATACTATTAAATAGTATTTAGTAGAATGATTCATTGAAAAAGGAAAGACTCAGTTATGAATTGCAGCCACAAGAGAAGAAGGTCAAAACTTCCCCTCTCTTCCATGTTGAAAATTAAAGAAAAGAAAATAATTTCTCCCTCTTCATAACAAGCATTTGTCAAAAGGAGAGGCTGACATGGCGGTCTGGGCTGTATGTTTGCTGAACTATGACATAATGAGGAATCATTGCCATCATAGTAGTAAGGAGCTCTTGAAAGAGGTGACTATGGATCCTGTGGAGTTTGGAGATATATGTGAACATAGAATTGGAGACTGCTCCTCTTATAAGCTATTATTAAGAAAGGAAAAAAAAAACATGAGAGCAAGAGAGCAGGGCAAATACAGAGTTCAGAAGTTGGCAAGCTGGCTGTCTTCTTTTTGGAGTAATGAAGTTGAGTTAATTTTTTGCGAGTCAGGTGGATGGGACAAATTTAAACCATATTTAAAGAAATGTTCACAAGAAAATGGCTGTTCCGGCAAACAATAGAAATTTTTAATAAATAGAAACTTTAGGTTGAATGACCAATAGTAGGAAGTGCAAAGTACATCACCATCATCAAGAAAATACAGTTTATAAGATCCTGTAGGCCATATCCTCCCGTTCCCCTCCAACCCCACAAAAACTTCCCATATCTGTCTTATGGAAAAAAAAAAAACAACCTTGAGTGACAGCTAGACAGAAGGTACTGATGATGACATTACAATGGCACAGGTCAATGGGAAACTTATTTTCCTTAATTTTTCTAATTGCCTCTTTCCTTGATTTAATCCTAGACAATCCTGCAAAAATAGGGTGAAGCAATAAAGGGAGAAAAAAATCACCACATCCTCCTTACCCACTTTGGGTGAAACCTGAGCTTGAGAAGAGGAGATGCTTTGAACGGAAGAGATAAAGCTTTTTTGACTTGGTGAACTTTTATAATTAATTAATTTATTTTATTTTATTATTAATTAATTCTGAATCAAGTAATTTAATATAAAATATATAATTATAATATAATTAATTTGTATTTAATCATAGGTTATAAGTAGACTTAATTAATTATAACAACATATTTTGAAGTATATGATAAGAAATATACATTATACTAATAATAGTATAAACCACTGGCATGACCTAAAGTGCTGAAGGAAAAAAAATGATCTAAGAACAGTGTATCTGGTGAAAATATTCCTCAAACATGAAGGAGAAATAAACGCTTTCTCAGATCAAATAAAAGCTAAGGGATTTTATTAATACCAGACCTGTGTAACAAGAAATGCTAAAGGGAGTCCTTCAATCTGAAAGAAAAGGACATTAATGAGCAATAAGAAATCATCTAAAGGTAAAAAACTCATTGGTACAGTGTACTGTAAATGTGGCATATAAACTACCCATATCTTAATTAGAAAAACTAAAAGATGAAATTATAAAAAATAATAGTTACAATAACTTTTCAAGATATAGACAGTACAGACAGATATAAACAGAAGAAACAAGAAATTAAAAAGCAGGGGACAAAGTTAAGGTATAGGGTTTTTATTCGTTTTCTCTTTGCTTTGGTTTTGTTTGTTTAAGTAATTGGTATCAAGTTGTCATCAGTTAAAAAAATGGATATGAGATATGATTTGCAAGCCTCATGGTGATCTCAAATCTAAAAACATACGATGAATAGACAGAAAATCAAAAGCTAGAAGTTAATATACCACCAAAGAAAATCACCTTAACTATAATGAAGATAAGAAGGAAGGAAAGAAGAGAAGACCAGAAAACAAATAACAAAATGACAAGAGTAATTCCTTAATTATCAATAATTACACTGAATTTAAATGGACTAAACTCTCCAATCCAAAAACATAAAGTGGCTGAATGGACAAAAAAGTGAGACCCAACAATCTAGTGTTTACAAGAAACACTACACCTATCAAGACAAATACAGACTGAAAATATGAAGAGATGGAAAAAGATATTGCATAAAAATGGAAAGCAGGGCCTGGCACGGTGGCTCACACCTGTAATCCCAGCACTCTGGGAGGCTGAGGCAGATGGATCACGAGGTCAGGAGATCGAGACCATCCTAGCTAACATGGTGAAACCCTGTCTCTCTACTAAAAATACAAAAAATTAGCCAGGCGTGGTGGCGGGTGCCTGTGGTCCCAGCTACTCGGGAGGCTGAGGCAGGAAAATGGCATGAACCGGGGAGGCAGAGCTTGCAGTGAGCCGAGATTGCGCCACTGCACTCCAGCCTGGGTGAGAGAGTGAAACTCCATCCCAAAAAAAAAAAAAAAAAAAAAGGAAAGCAAAAAATAGCAGGAATAGCTATATGTATGTCAGAAAAATACAGAAAAATAGATTGTAAGAAAAAACTTTAAAAGGAGACAAAGAAGGTCATTATATAATGATTAAGGGGTCAATTCAGCAAGAGGATATAACTGTAAATATATATGCACTCAAAACTGGAGCACCCAGATATACAAAGTAAATATTATCAGAGCTAAACAGAAAGATAGACCCCAATGCAATAATAGTTGGAGATTTCAACACCCCATTTTCAGCACTGGACAGATTATCTAGACATAACAGTAAGAAAGAAACATTGGACTTAATCTGTGCTATAGACCAAATGGACATAATAGATTTTTTTTTTTGAGGCAGAGTCTTGCTCTGTTGCCCAGGCTGGAGTGCAGTGGTGTGATCTTGGCTCACTGCAAGCTCCGCCTCCTGGGTTCACACCATTCTCCTGCCTCAGCCTCCTGAGTGGCTGGGACTACAGGCGCCCACCACCACGCCTGGCTAATTTTTTTATATCTTTAGTAGAGACAGAGTTTCACCATGTTAGCCAGGATGGTCTCGATCTCCTGATCTCATGATCCACCTGCCTTGGCCTCCCAAAGTGCTGGGATTACAGGCGTGAGCCACTGCACCCAGCCAAGGCATAACCAGTATTTACAGAAAATTTCATCCAATGGTTGCAGAATACACATTCTTCTCCTCAGCACATGAGTAATTCTTAAAGTTATACCATATGTTAGGTCAAAAAAAGTCTTAAAAATTTTTTAAAATTGAAATAATATCAAGTATCTTCTCTGACCACAATGGACTAAAACTAGAACTCAATAATAAGAGGAATAGTGGAACCTATACAAACACATGGAAATTAAACCATATGCTCCTGAATTACCAGTAAGTCAATGAAAAAATTAAGAAGGAAATTGAAATTGAAACAAATGGTAATCAAAGCAAAATATAACCAAAATATCCCAGATCCCAGGGGATACAGTGAAAACAATAGTAAAAGGGAAGTTTATAGTTATAAGCAAGTACATCCAAAAAGTAGACAAACTATAAATAAACAACATAAAAATTCATCTTCTAGAACAGCATGAACAAACCAAACCCAAAATTAGCAGATCAAATAATAAATAAATAAAGATCAAAGCAGAAGTAAGTAAAATTGAAACAAAGAACACGATACAAAAGATCAATGGAATAAAAAGTTGTTTTTTTGAAAACAATCAAAGCTGACAAACCTTTAGCCTGACCAAATAAGAAAAAAGAGAGAAGATCCAAATAAATAAAATCAGAGATGGAAAAAGAGACATTACACCCAATACTGCAGAAATTAAAAGAATCATCAGAGGCTACTATAAGCAACTATAAACCAATAAATTAGAAAACCTAATAGAGATGGATACATTCCTAGGCATATGCAACCTACCAAGACTGAACCATGAAGATATTCAAAACCTTAACAGACCAATAAAAAGTAATACAATCTAAGCCATTAAAAAAAAAGTCTCCCAGGAGAGTAATTTGTAGAAACTGATGGTTTCACTGCTGAATTTTACTGAACATTTAAAGTAAAGAAAAGCTAAAACCCATCTTACTCAAAACTATTCTGAAAAAGAGAGGCATGAAACTCATTCTATGAGGCCAGTATTACTGGCAAAAAAAAAAAAAAAGATAAAGACACATTAAAAAAAGAAAACTACCAGTCAGTATCCCCAATGAACATTGATGTAAACATTCTCAACAAAATAAAAACATACCAAATTCAACAATAACTTAAAAAGGTCGTTCATCATGACCAAGTAGGACTTATCTCAGGAATGCAAGGGTAGTTCAATATCCGTAAATTAATCAGTGTGATACATAATGTCAATAAAATGAAAGACAAAAACCATACAATCATTTCAGTTGATGCAGAAAAAGTAGTTGATAAAATTCAAAATCCCTTCATAATTAAAAACCCTCAAAAAGTGGGGAATAGAAAAAACATAACTCGACATAATGATAGCCATATATGACAGATCCATACCGAGTACCATACTGAATGGGGAAAACTGAAAGCCTTTTCTCTAAGATCTGGAATATGACAAGAACACTCATTTTCACCACTGTTATCCAATATAGTACTGGAAGTCCTAGCTAGAGCAATCAGACAAGAGAATAAAATAAAGGACATCTAAAATGTAAAAGATAAAGTCAAATTATCCTTGTTTGCAGATGGTATGATCTTATATCTGGAAAACCCCAAAGACTCCACCAATAAAGAAACTTATGAGAACTGATAAATTCAGTAAAATTGCAGGATACAAAATAAACATAGAAAAACAATAGCATTTCTATATACCAACAGCAAACAATCTGAAAGAGAAATAAAAAAGTAATCCCACTTTATATTTATGTATCAGTAGATTGAAGAGATCTGCATTCCCATGTTCATTGTAGCACTATTCACAATTGTTAAGATTTGGAAGCAACCTGTGTTCATCAATAGATGAATGGATAAAGAAAATGTGGTACACATATACAACCTAGTACCATTCAGCTTTAAGAAAGAATTAGATCCTGTCATCTCCAACAACATGGATAAAACTGAAGGTCATTATGTTAGGAGAAATAAGCCATGAACAGAAAGATAAACTTCTCATGTTTTCACTTATTTGTGGGAGCCAAAAATTAAAACAATTGAACTCATGGTAACAGAGAGTAGAAAGATGATTACCAAAGTCTGGGGGTGTAAGTGGGGATAGTTAATGGGTACAAAAACATAGTTAGATAAAATCTAGTATTTCATAGTACACCAGGGTGACTGTAGTCAACAATTATTTTATAAAAGAGTATAATTGAAATGTTTGTAACACGGAGAAAGAATAAATGCTTGAAGTGATGAATACCCATTTACTCTGGAGTGATTATTATGCATTGTATGCCTGTATCAAAATCTATCACATACCCCATAAGTATATGCATCTATTATGTACCAAGAAAAAAATAAAAATTAAATTTTTTGTTAAAAACTAATTGTATAGGCTGGGCATGGTGGATCACGCCTGCAATCCCATCACTTTAGGAGGCTGAGGAGGGCGGATCATGAAGTCGGGAGTTTGAGACCAGCCTGACCAACATGGTGAAACCCTGTCTCTACTAAAAATACAAAAATTAGCCGGGCATGGTGGTGCATGCCTGTAATCCCAGCTATTCAGGAGGCTGAGGGAGGAGAATCGTTTGAACCTGGGAGGCAGAGGTTGCAGTGAGCAGAGATCGCACCACCATACTTCAGCCTGGGTGACAGAGCGAGACTGTCTCAATAATAATAATAATAATAATTGTACAAAATATATACTTTCAGTATAAAATGTATACACTATTATACCATATTCTATATACATAGAATATGTACTATAGGTATAAAATATATGATATATAAATTAAACTTTAAAATTTTACCATTTTATATCTGAAAATGAATGGAATACTCTGGATTTGCCAAGATGTTCTCAGATCAAGGAGCAGTAAATATTTTCTTAAAAGCACTTGTTTGTAGGCAAGAGTTGGAGACAAATTAAAAGTGTTTACTGATTATAGGGTCAGATTTTCCCATTCTGCAGAATAATTTTTTTTTCTTTGAGACGGAGTCTGGCTCTGTCACCCAGGCTGGAGTGCAGTGGCACAATCTCAGCTCACTGCAAGCTCTGCCTCTCGGGTTCACACCATTCTCCTGCCTCAGCCTCCCGAGTAACTGGGACTACAGGCACCCGCCACCACGCCCGGCTAATTTTTTTGTATTTTTAGTAGAGACGGAGTTTCACCGTGTTAGCCAGGATGGTCTTGATCTCCTGACCTCGTGATCCACCCGCCTCGGCCTCCCAAAGTGCTGGGATTACAGGCTTGAGCCACCGCACCTGGCCATAAATTTTATTATAAGTATGTATGTATAGGCAAAAGCATAGTATATATAGGATTTCACATATTCCTTGTTTCTGGCATCACCAGGAGTATTGGAACCTATCTCCCACAGATATGGGTGGGTACTATAATTTAATGCAGGGACTGACTCAGAGTTAATATTAATTAATATTTATTCAATGGAGGCCAGGCGCATTGGCTCATGCCTGTAATCCCAGCATGTTGGGAGGCTGAGGCAGGTGGATCACTTGAGGTCAGGAGGTCAGGAGTTCAAGACAAGGCTGTACAACATGGTGAAACTCTTGTGTCTGCTAAAAACACAAAAATTAGCTGGGTGTGGTGGTGCATGCCTGTAATCCCAGCTACTCAGGAGGCTGAGGCATGAGAATTTCTAGAACCTGGGAGGTGGAGGTTGCAGTGAGCCAAGATCATGCCACTGCACTCCAGCCTGGGCAGTGGGAGTGAAAAAAAAAATTCAGTGGCTATTTAAGGGAAAAAAAGTGACAAGTAGTATTTTTCTGTAATTGCTCCCTAATTATTTCATCTTTCATTTACATACGTTTATGGGGTACAAGTGCAGTTGTGTTACATGCATAGTGGTCAAGTCAGAGTTTTGCGGGTATCCCTCACCTGAATACTGTACATTGTATCCATTAAGTAATTTCTCCCCATCCCTCCTTACCACCCCTGCACCCATCCAAGCCTAACTGTCTATCACTCCATACTCTATGTCCATGTGTACACATTATTTACCTCCCACTTATAAGTAAGAACCTGTGCCATTTGTCTTCCTATGTCTGGCATGTTTCGCTTAAGACAGTTATGTCCAGTTTCATCCAGGTTGCTGCATGTAACATGACTTTACTCGTTTTTATTGCTGAATAGTATTTCATTTTGTATATATACACCATTTTTTGTAATCTAATCATTTGTTGATAAACATTAGGTTAATTCTATCCATTTAGCAATGCAGTATACACTTTTATATGAGATACACATCAACTTAGCAACATTTTGTATAGCAAATTCCCAACTATTGCCCTATCCTCAACCAAACTGATTCTTAAATATCAACTTCTGGAATGTCTTTAAGGGCCACTGTTACGTAAACGTGACATGTTCTAATGGTACTATTGCAAATGTAGCAATAACTACATTACTTCTATGGTGTAAATCCTGAAATAGTTAAGTAAGAGGAAGGTCCAGGCAGACGTTTCTGTTAAGAACTCTCAAGATTTATAGATTATAACTGTAGAGGCAACTTTTTCATAGCCTTGACATAGCTTTGACATAAACTTTATCATTATGAGCTTTGGAAGCTTTTGATACAGTCCATTCTTCATGTTAACAATTGGAAGAGAAGACTGAAAACATCATCTTCCTACAATTCATCAGATATCATTTAGAATAATTCTACTAAACACTAGCATGAGAATTCTTTTACTGTGGGAGATTGATGATTGTCATAAATTGTTGATATTTGTCCCTTTGAGATTTGGGGCCTAACTCTCTACCCCTTGGTCTCTGTAAAGCTTTCTTCTGTTTTCACAAACAGATAAGTTACACAGTAACATTGCACCAGTTTTCAAGTATGAGCCATAAAGGTTTGACAGCTTCCACTTTCTGTTTTTTGGAACACTTGCTCTTAGAAGCCAGTCACCTGGTAAGAAAACAACTGCTCTGGGACCTCTGGACTGTGAGAAGAGATAATCAGGCCATGTAGATTCTCTGGAGGATAAGATGTCTTCTGTAGAACTGGAGAGGCAAAGGAGGCTAAATATTCAGATGTGGCGAAGAAGCCACATTCAATATAGATTTTCTATTTCTTTTTTTTTTTTTCTTGAGACAGAGTCTTGCTCTGTCGCCCAGGCTGGAGTGCAGTGGCACAATCTCGGCTCACTGCAAGATCGGCCTCCCAGGTTCACACCATTCTCCTGCCTCAGCCTCCCGAGTAGCTGGGACTACAGGCGCCCGCCACCACACCTGGTTAATTTTTTGTATTTTTAGTAGAGACGGGGTTTCACCTTGTTAGCCAGGATGGTCTTGATCTCCTGACCTTGTGATCCACCCGCCTCAGCCTCCCGAAGTGCTAGAATTACAGGCGTGGGCCACCGCGCCCGGCCATAGATTCTCCATTTCAAATCACTCTAGTTGACACTGCTTAAGTCAAACTGCCTTAGATGAGTTCTGCAATTCTTTACCATCAAAATTATGAAGAAAAATCAAAGTGATTGTTTTAAGCCACTAAGAATTGAGGTAGTTTCTCACTAAGCAAAAGATAACAAAATAATTATAAAACAACCTAAAGATAACTTCAGAGAGTGACAACTTTTCTCACTCTCAGATTTATTTTGTCCTATAGC